>NW_021159987.1:0-145975 GCF_000001405.40 Homo sapiens
CGTAGGGTGGGAGTGTGTGTCATGGCGGCTCCGTCTCCGGCTGGCTCATGGGCACTGTTGGCTTGTGCAGGACCCTCGGGGCACATGCAATGGCCAGGGAGGACTAGCGGGTCTGGAAAGGAGGGGCAGCAGGTGACATCACTGACCCCGTCAGCTCAGGGGATGAAACTTCCCTCCAGGGAGCTCGCCCCTCCGGGACCACACTGTTCCTCCTGTCTCCTGGGGATGGGAGGGACCCCAGCCAGAAGGGTCAGCCACTTCTGCCACTTCTCCTGGCCCTTCTCGCACCCTGGGCAGCCCATGCTTGGCCCCAACCTCCCAGCCAGTGCAGGAGACCCGGGAGAGCAGCTCTGTCTTGGACACAGAGACCACTCTCTGCGGGCGGTGGGTCAGTCCTGTGGCCACTCTAAGAAAATGGCCGCGGCCTGGGTGGCCGACACAGAAACACATTGCCCTGCAGTTCTGGAGGCTGCAAGTCCAAGATCAAGCTATCTGCAGGGCGAGTCCTTCTAAGGCCATGAGGGAGAATCTGTTCAGGCCTCCCGAGCATCTGGGGCTCGCTGAGGCCTTTGGCTCCTTCATTGTCCTGTGGTTCCCACCTGCATGTCTCTCCATGGGGCCATCTTCTCACACAGACACCAGGCACAGGGGGCCAGGGCCCACCATCCTCCAGTGTGACCTCATCTCAACCAATGACATCTGCAAACCTCATTTCCAAATAAGGCCACATCCTGAGATACTGGGGTTAGGACTTCGACATACGAACTTGGCAGGGGACACAATTCAACACATGACAGGTGGCGTTTCCGGCCTGGGAACAAGTTGCTGAAGCTTTTTCATCTTTCCTGTCCTCCTGCCACAGAAACCTGTATCCATACCCTTCCTCCACCCTCGCTGCCCGGTCCACTGCCGCCATCCCGAGGGAGCCACCTGGCTCTCCCTGCAGAGCGGGTGGGGACACGGGCTGCAGGTAGCAGGCCAGGGTGGCCGTGAGGGGCATTCAGGTGTTCCTATCCTTCCCCCTCTGCCATCGACGCTGCATCAGCACCACTTTCCCTCTGTGGAAACCAGGCTGTTTTGTGATGTTTTTGCCTAAAGTTATCCTCCTGGCACGTAATCTCTTTATAGAAAGGCCAGCAAGCAGGAGATTTTCACATGCTTTTTAAAATAGACTTATTTGCTTCATGATTTCCACAAGCTGCCTATTAGCTCCTGAGAAAGTGAATATGACAAATGACCTCGCACCTCGTTCCAGGGAGGAGACTCATGCTCCTATCACCTGCTTGCACACAGTACCTGTCACTCAACCTCTGCTGGCCGAGGCCCTGCCTCCAAGCCTGCTATTTCCTCCAGTAATGCAGGCCCCATCACTTCATTAATGCTCATTACAGAATAAGAGGAATTTCACCTCTGACCTTCAGCTCCACCCACCATGGCTATCTTGCCAAATTCTAACTTCAGTCACAGAAACAGCTAACCACCGCCAAAGGGGAGTTCCCGCCCCAGACCCCTTTACACTTATGAATACTTCAAAAGATCATAAATGTTTTCAGAAGAAATCACAGCCAATCAAGAAGCCATTTGCAGAGCCCTTGGGTTAAAAGCTTCACACGCGAATGCCTAGAACAGCCATCCGCCCTCCAAACTCTGTCCCGGATGTGGTGGCCTGGCCAGATGCTGCAGGGGTTCCCTGCTGTATTAGTCCATTTTCATGCTGCTGATAAAGACATATCCAAGACTGGAAAGAAAAAGAGGTTTAATTGGACTTAGAGTTCCACATGGCTGGGGAGGCCTCAGAATCATGGTGGGAGGTGAAAGGCACTTCTTACATGGCAGTAGCAAGAGAAAATGAGGAAGAGGCAAAAGTGGAAACCCCAATAAACCCATCAGATCTTGTGAGACTTACTCACTATCACGAGAATTGCACAGGAAAGACCAGCCCTCATGATTCAATTACCTCCCCCTGGGTCCCTCCCACAACTCATGGGAATTCTGGGAGATACAATTTAAGTTGAGGTTTAATGGGGACACAGCCAAACCATATCACCTGCCTTCCTGAGGCCCTGACTCTGTGTCATGGATCTTTCATGCCTGGGCCCCTTGGAGTGTGTTTCCACAAGGTGTGGACTGCACACACTCCATTGGCTCTCAAGAAAGCTAGTGTTGCCCTGTTTCCTCAAGACAATTTGACCACTCAACAACCAAATCGGCCACAGCCCACCAAAGGCCCACAGGGACCTCTGCCATGGTCCCCTCTGGCCACCAGGGTCTGAGAAGCAGACATTGGATTCCCCATCTCAAGGTGCTGCATCTCCAGTAGGAGCTGGAAAGCCATGAGTTCCTGTTCCAGGGCTCAACAGAAGAGCAGGGAAAGTGACTGAGAGAGCAAAAGAGGACCAGGGCACGTCCTGGAAGACTTCCTGGAGGAGGCAATCCATGAGAAGGATTCCAATGGGCAGAAAAATATGGGAAGAGATTTGAACAAACATGAGCCAAATAGCAGGGTACCGGACATCTCCAGGCTGTTTCAAGAATTCATTCCTTTTGATCAGTAAGTCTTTGTTAGTGCTGAGGGCAGGCAGGGCACGATGTCAGTGCTGGGACAGAGGAAACAGAACAGCCCTAGCCTTGTGGAGTCCATGCCTTGTGAAAAGAGACTGTAGGCAGGTTAATAAGTAACCAGTCGGAATAAGTTGTGAGGCACCGAGGCCTTGGGACCTGGAACACTGGGGTGGGAGATCTTCCTGAGACAGGTGGTTGTGGGGCGGCGTCTGCAGGGTAACTCACAGCAGAGACCCCCAGGGTGGGAGGTGGCAGCGTGGCCCAGGGAGAGCCAGGCCCTGAGTCAGGGCTGGAGTCCAGAGAGAGGGGATGGAGTGAGCGGGAGCTGGGTTTTACGAACTCCCGTTGGAGGAAAAGAATGCGGCTATACTCACAGTGTGGTGGGACACCGGTGGAGGGTCTTGAACACAGGAGTGGTGCAATCCTGGTTGAGTTTTGGGGGTCACCCCCGTTGCAATGGGTGTGGAGCAAGCTCTGTAGCAGGACGATCAGCAGCAGTTTAGTTGCCCCCCAGAGGCCGGATTGGACAGGCTGGATGGGAGCAAGTGTGCTTGGTGTGGAGAGAAGCAGTGGGACTCGAGATATCTGGAGGGGAAATGGGCAGGACTGGGCACCGGCTGGAGGTAGGCATGAGAAAGAAGGATAACTCGGCTGCCTTCCCAGTTCCTGTTCTGAGCAGCTGGATGGCGTGTGGACCTGGAGTGGTGCAGTCACAGGCACATCGAGAGCGAGAGGCAATGCAAGTGGAAATGCCAAAGCAACAGAGGGATGCAGCAGGTGACAAGCTGGGCAACCCGGAGTTACCTGGGGCCTGTCGAGTAAGCCCTGAGGAAGGCGGCTGCTCATGAGAAGGGGAGTGGCCAGAGAGCAGGGCGGGGAGCCTGGGTGCGGTGGGGACAGACAGCGGGTAGGGGGGCCCGGATGCAGTGGGGAAGGGGAGATGTCGGCTGACTCAAGTCACTGTTAAAAGTCATGGAACACCTCTCAATACAAACGAGCCTTTCTCCAGGGTGCACACCTCTCTGCAGCCGCCCAGAGAGCCACACTGCAGCCTGCTTCTCCTCACCTGGAGGCTGGAGTCCGTTCCCAAATTTGCTCCCAATTCCTGTAAACCTGGGTAGGTTCAGGTGCTAAGAGGAAAAATCCCAGCATAGAAAGAGGAAGGACGTTTGTCAGAGAAGTCACTGAGCATGGAAAGAGGAAGGACGTTTGTCAGAGAAGTCACTGAGCATGGAAAGAGGAAGGACGTTTGTCAGAGAAGTCACTGAGCATGGAAAGAGGAAGGACGTTTGTCAGAGAAGTCACTCAGCATGGAAAGAGGAAGGATGTTTGTCAGACAAGTCACTCAGCATGGAAAGAGGAAGGACGTTTGTCAGAGAAGTCACTCAGCATGGAAAGGGGACGGATGTTTGTCAGAGAAGTCACTCAGCATGGAAAGGGGAAGGACGTTTGTCAGAGAAGTCACTCAGCATGGAAAGGGGAAGGACGTTTGTCAGAGAAGTCACTCAGCATGGAAAGAGGACGGACGTTTGTCAGAGAAGTCACTCAGCATGGAAAGAGGAAGGACGTTTGTCAGAGAAGTCACTCAGCATGGAAAGAGGAAGGACGTTTGTCAGAGAAGTCACTCAGCATGGAAAGAAGAAGGACGTTTGTCAGAGAAGTCACTGAGCATGGAAAGAGGAAGGACGTTTGTCAGAGAAGTCACTCAGCATGGAAAGAGGAAGGACGTTTGTCAGAGAAGTCACTCAGCATGGAAAGAGGAAGGACGTTTGTCAGAGAAGTCACTCAGCATGGAAAGGGGAAGGACGTTTGTCAGAGAAGTCACTCAGCATGGAAAGGGGAAGGACGTTTGTCAGAGAAGTCACTGAGCATGGAAAGAGGAAGGACGTTTGTCAGAGAAGTCACTCAGCATGGAAAGGGGAAGGACGTTTGTCAGAGAAGTCACTCAGCATGGAAAGAGGAAGGACGTTTGTCAGAGAAGTCACTGAGCATGGAAAGAGGAAGGACGTTTGTCAGAGAAGTCACTCAGCATGGAAAGAGGAAGGACGTTTGTCAGAGAAGTCACTCAGCATGGAAAGGGGAAGGACGTTTGTCAGAGAAGTCACTCAGCATGGAAAGGGGAAGGACGTTTGTCAGAGAAGTCACTCAGCATGGAAAGAGGAAGGACGTTTGTCAGAGAAGTCACTCAGCATGGAAAGAGGATGGACGTTTGTCAGAGAAGTCACTGAGCATGGAAAGGGGAAGGACGTTTGTCAGAGAAGTCACTGAGCATGGAAAGAGGAAGGACGTTGGTCAGAGAAGTCACTCAGCATGGAAGTGCCTTGAAGCTCCCCGAAGGCTGTGGAAAGCTCCTCCACGTCTTTGTTCTCCCATGAGGCTCATGGTCCCAGAGCGTGGTCTAATTCCTGAGGCCAGCAGGCCTGGGTTCTGTGCCTGTGTCTCTGGACTTCCAGCACTAAGTCGCGGGCAGGCTTGTGCGGGAACCCCTGAATATCCGGAGGCCCAGAGACCCAGAGGCCCAGAGACCCAGAAGCCCTGGACGTGAGGCCTGACTTCCTGCTTACCAGCTCCGAGGTGGTCTTGGGGTGTGGTCACCCCACAGTCTCTGAGGCAGACCCCCACTGTCCCTCTGAGGACAGGTCTCCAGGGCCCAGTTTCCCTTTGCCAGGCAAATGGGGCTGCCCAGCTCCAGAGCCTAGTCTGCCACTCCTGGCTGAAGGGTGGCCAGGGCCAGTTGAAGCCTGAACCCTCCTTTAGGTAGCATGGAACATTCCAGAGACATAATCTGTCTGCCCTTTTCTCTCTCAGACAGTGGGAGTGTTTCCTCTTTTTGCAGTTACGTGTCAGCAGATTGCTTTCTTTTAGGAAAGGGTTCATCTCACCGGTGACTTTGTGCAGAAGAGAGCAGGCGGGAACGGGAAAAGCGCACGTAAGATCCCGCCAGGCCCTCGAGGCCCCGCATGGCTGATGAAGAACATGCCTGTGTTTCCGGCCAAGGTGGTTTCCTGCCAGGACAAATGAGCCCGAGTCGCTCCACTTTCCCTGGGCCCACATAGCCGGCCCTTGGGGGACATTGAAGCAGTAGCCCCAGCCTCACCACGAGGCTGCCCAGGGAGGAAGACTGAGTCCTCCACTGTGCAGGGACCACATGGGGCAGCTCTGTTTGAGAACTGATGGGTGGTTTTGCTAAATGGAGCAGAGCGAGGAGCTCCGGAAGCTTCCATGTCAGGGGAGGGAGCTGCAGATTGGCACAAACCCATGGGAGAGGGCTCCTCAGAAGACAGAGCATGGCTGAGCTGGCAATTCTCCACCCTCATGGCTGTGCCTGGGACCCTCTATGCTTTCTGCACTCTGAGGAAACCTTCACATGCCTCAGATGGGTCCAGAGATATGCACCCACCACCCTGGCCCCATGCGCTGTTGCGTCTCACAGCAGAGAGCAGAGGAAGCACCTGTTCGGTCCAGGGGCCCCACATCTCCAGTTGGGAAGCTGGGGCAGGCTTTTCAGGGTACCCCACTGGGCCACCCAGGGGTCCAGGCTCAGCATAGTCATGGTTCTGGCATAGGACCCTGAAAAGAACTGAATTCTAGTTTTACATTGAGCCCAAGACCAGCTCAGGCCAAAGCCTCACTCATTTGCAAACACTGATGTGGCACCTGCCATGGTGCCATGAAGGGCCAGAGGTCAGGCAGGTGGGGAGATAATGCCCTTCCCCAAGAGGTATAATGCCCTTCCCAAAGGGGTATAAGTCCCACGGTTGTGGGGCCTGAATATCGGTCCTACCCTTTCCCAAGGAACTCAACAGCTGCACCCAGGGACAGCAGGGACACCAGGACTTAGGGTACAAGACACAGGCAGAGGCCCCTGAGCTTGGACGCTGGCCCCAGCTATGCAGCTGTGTGGCTCGAGTCAGCTCCCAAACCTCAGTCGCACATCTGAAAATGAAGACTAATTGCCCACTAAGGGTTGGGAGGACAAACTGGGTCTTTGAATTCCTGGAAATCTGGAGACTAGTCAGGAGGCCGCTGCAGGCAGAAATGTCCTATACAAGAAGAAAGAAGTGGAAATACACCTCATGTGCTGGAGGATGATGGAAACCGGTTGCAGGTGGTCCCGGCGACAGGTCTTTTGTGGCTGTGCGCCAAGCCAGGAGGAGCTGGTTCCATGATCTGGGTGGACAGACCTGGCAGCAGGTGCTGTTCAACTCTTCTATATCATTATTGATTTTCTGTCCATATGTTCTATCAATTATTGACGATATTGGAATCTCTGTTGACAATTATGGATTTGTCTAGTTCTTGTTGTGGTTCTGTCAGATTTCGCTTCGTGTATTTTGAAGCTCTATAATAAGATAAATGAACAGTTAGGATTGTTATGTCCTTTTGATGAATTGATCCCTTTATCATTATGAAATGATCATTCATTTCTTTATCCCTGGTGATATTCTTTGCTTTGAAGTCCACTTTGATGAGTAAACGCTCCAGATTTATGGTTGATTAGTCTTAGCATGGTGTATCTTTTTCCATCCTTTTACATTTAATATTTTTTTGTCTTTCTATATAAAGTGGGTTTCTTGTAAGCATCATAGACTTGCTTTTCATCAAAGCTGACATCTGCCTTTTAATTGAGGCATTTAGACAGTGTAGATTTCATATGATGATTGATATGGTTCAGCTTAAGCTTATCATCTATTTGTCTCATCTGTTTTTTGTTCCCCTTTTAGCCCTCTTTTAGATTAATTGAATAGTTTCTATGATTCCATTTTATCCACTCATATAGCTTATTAGCTATAATTCTTTCTTTTTTTTTTTTGAGACAGTCTCGCTCTGTCACCCAGGCTGGAGTCCAGTGGCGCAATCTCAGCTCACTGCAAGCTCCGCCTCCTGGGTTCACGCCATTCTCCTGCCTCAGCCTCCAGAGTAGCTGGGACTACAGGCACCCGCCACCACGCCCGGCTAATTTTTTGTATTTTTAGTAGAGACGGGGTTTCACCGTGTTAGCCAGGATGGTCTCAATCTCTTGACCTCATGATCCACCCACCTCGGCCTCCCAAAGTACTGTGATTACAGGTGTGAGCCACCACGCCCAGCCCTATAATTCTTTCTTTTGTTATTTCAGTGATCGCCTTAGGGTCTATATGCACCTCTAAGTTATGACGGTCTGTCTTGAAGTAATACACGACTTTAGGTATAGTATAAAAACCTTACAATAGTATACTTTCACATCTTCACTCCCAGCCTTGATGCTAAGGTTGCCATTCATTTTACTTATACATATGTTAGGAACCTCATGCTCTGTTATTATTTTTGTTAAATGGTCAATTTTATTTTAAAGAGATTCTGTATAATAAGAAAACTATCAATATATTTACTCACATAGTTACTGTTTCCGGTACTCTTCATTCCTCTGTGTAGATCCGAATTTCCGTTTGGTGTCATTTTTCTTCTGATGGGACTTTCTTGAACATTTCTTGTAGTGTGTCTGCTGGTGAAAAATGCTTTCAGCTTGAGTTCCTCTGAAAAAAGACTCTGTTTGACCTTTAGTTTCGGAAGGTAATGGAGACAGGCGTAGAGTTTTAGGCTCATGGCATTTTCGTTTTTGTAATTTAAATGTGTTACTCCACCATCTTCTTGCCCGTATTGTTTCTGATGAGAAATCTGCTCTCATCTTATCATCCGTCCCCTGCATGCAAAATGCCACTTTTCTCTGGTCACTTTTAAGATTGTCCTGTCCATCACTGGCTTTGAGCCGTTTGATTATGACCTGCCTTTGGTGTGGTTTTCTTCACGTAGTTTCCTCAAGATTAAGGCTCATTGAGCTTATTGGGTCTATCAGTTTATAGTTTTCATCAAATTTGGAAAATTTTTTGACCATTACTGCTTCAAATATATTTTCTATCCCACTTTCTCTCCTCTCCTTCAGGGACTTCAATTACACATATATTAGGCCACTTGAAGTTGTACCATATCTCACTGATACAATTTTCACTTAAAAAAACACCATAAAGGCACATGCATGCGTATGTTTGTTGCAGCACTATTCACAATAGCAAAGAGGTGGATCAACCTAAATACCCCACAATGGTAGACTGGATAAAGAAAACATACACCATAGAATACTATGCAGCCATAAAAAAGCATGAAATCATGTCCTTTGCAGCAACATTGATGGAGCTGGAGGCCATGATCCTAAGCAAATTCACGCAGGAACAGAAAACCAAATACCATGCTCTCACTTATAAGTGGCAGTGAAACAACGAGGACACATGAACACAAAGAGGAGAACAAGAGACAACAGGGCCTGCTTGAGGGTGGAGGGTGAGAGGAGAGAGAGGATCATGAAATTACCTATTGGGTACTATGCTCATTACCTGGGTGATGAAATAATCTGTACACCAAACCCCTGTGACACACAGTTTACCTACGTAACAAACTGCACACGCACCTTGAACCGAAAATAAAAGTTAAAAAGGGCCGGGTGCGGTGGCTCCCGCCTGTAATCCCAGCACTTTGGGAGGCCGAGGCGGGCGGATTGCGAGGTCAGGAGATCGAGACCATCCTGGCTAACACGGTGAAACCCCGTCTCTACTAAAAATACAAAAAAAAAAAAAAAATAGCTGGGAGTGGTGGCAGGTGCCTGTAGTCCCAGCTACTCGGGAGGCTGAGGCAGGAGAATGGCGTGAACCCAGGAGACAGAGTTTGCAGTAAGCGGAGGTCGCACCACTGCACTCCAGCCTGGGCTATAGTGAGACTCCGCCTCAAAAACAAAAACAAAAACAAAAAAAACAAAACTTAAAAAGAAGAAACTTGGCCCAACTTCTTCTCAAAAAGAAAAAATGACTTTTTTCCCCTCTATGTTTCATTTCGGAGAGCTTCTATTACCGTGTCTTCAAGTTCACTAATATTTTATTCTGTAACGTGTAACCTGCCATGAATCCATCCAGTGTGTTTTTCATTTCAGCCATTATAGTTTTCATCTTTAAAACTTTAATTTGTCCTTTTTATATCTTCCACATCTTTACTCCACTTTTAAAACATATGGAATACAGTTATGGTAACTTTTATTTCTTTGTCTGCTAATTCTAACATCTGCATCAGTTCTGGGTCTGTTTTGATTGATTTTTCTCCTTATTATAGGACATATTTTTCTGTTTCTTTATCTGCCTGGTAATCTTTGATTGGATGCCAGATATTGAGAATTTCATCTCGTTGGGTGCTGGGTGTTTTTGTATATCTGCACATATTCTTGAGGTTTGTTCTGGGATGCGACTGAGTTTCTTGATCCTCTTGGATCTTACTTTTGAAGTTTGTTAGGTGGAACCGGAACCTCGTTTACACTAAGGGTACTTATTCTCCAATACTCAGGCAAGTACTGATACGCCACCCGATGTCCTCTGAGATTTCCAGTTTGTCATGTGGGCACAGGTGCTATTTGCAGACCGATGTGAGTGCCAGGCATTATTTCCTTTCATCTTTAAGGTGATTCTTTGCTCGGTCTTGGGCAGTTTCCTCACACACACCCGCCAATCCTGAAGGTGAGCCTCTGCAGATCTCTGGATTCTCTCCTCTCTGGGACTCTGCCCTGCCAAGGGTAGTTGCACTGGTCTCCCCGAAATCTCTATCTTCCCAACTCAGAGAGTCTGCTGGGCTCTGCCTGAGTGGAGGAGATGCCTCCTTCTTGTTCTGTGGCCTGAAAACTCAAGGCAGTGCATTGGGCTACCATAGGGCTCAATGGTTTCCTTCCCATCCCACAGGGATCACTGTCCTTCACTGCCTCCTTCCAGTGTTCGGAAGACCGTTGTTTTTCATATTTGGTCTGCTTTTTGTGTGTTTTTGTTTCCTATGGAGGGTAAATTTGGTCTGTGACAAAGTCTTTGTGCTGTGGTTCTCTCCATCTGCGCTAGGTTGGCCTTCCTCATCTCAATGCCCCCATGCCTGACATGGCACCTGACATTCAGTCCATCTACACTAGGTCAGCCTTCCTTATCTCAACGCCTCCATGCCAGACATGGCACCTGACACTCAGTCCATCTGCACTAGGTCGGCCTTCCTCATCTCAACGCCCCCATGCCTGACATGGCACCTGACACTCAGTCCATCTGCACTAGGTCGGCCTTCCTCATCTCAACGCCCCCATGCCTGACATGGCACCTGACACTCAGTCCAACTGCACTAGGTCGGCCTTCCTCATCTCAACACCCCCATGCCTGACATGGCACCTTACACTCAGTCCATCTGCACTAGGTCAGCCTTCCTCATCTCAACACCCCCATGCCTGACATGGCACCTGACATTCAGTGGAAACTGCATGCGCGTAGATTACATGAACGGATGAGCAAATGAACTTAACTGGGAGTAACAAAGGGCGCTGAAGGCATTTGTCACCAGCTGAAGAAGTGTCACTGCTCTCTTCACACACATCTGTATATGTGTCTTGTTTCTCACGGTGATAGTTTTGAGGCCAAGGAACCTGTTGAATTAATTCATATCACATCCTTAAGGCTCAGTGACTTCGTTTTGCACAATGTAGGCTTTTAATAAATGTTTGCTTAATAAATAATTCATGGGTCGTTTAGACACGTGTCTGACAAACTTGGGTTGAAGTGTGAATGTAACAAATTTGTCTCTAATCCCAGCTGTGTGGAGTCTTTCTTCTCTGCTCTAGCACTGTGCTATCGACTACTGATAGCACCAGTCGGTAGCAGATCCCAGGACAAAATTATAGTTAAAAGATGCATGACCCATGGTGCCTTAACTTTCATATATGATGTCTTCATCTTTTCAAGGTGTTTAGATGACCATAGGAAGAAAAAGCGAGAGATAGAGGAAGTTAAAGAAGAAATGTTGGCTGCCATTGAAAACCAATCACAAATAAAGTTACAAAGTCAATTGGAAAGCAAGTGATTCTTCACAAATGCAAATCCTAGGACAGTGCCTGGCAGAGAGGAACTCCTCACTCCACCATTCTAATTCAATAATAGTCAGTTACTAAGGGCACAGCACTTTTAGGAGGAGCTCTCCCCTCTCCTACTTATGCAGAGGGGCCAAAGGATATATGACCAGGCTGTCAGCATGGGCTTCGAAGCGCTTGCATTGGGGATGCTAAAGGAAGCAGGTGCTGAGCATGAAGGAGATCAGAATCAATGAGTTACACAGGCGTGTATTCTCAACCAGAGGTGTGGCTGCACCATTAAGCCAGGGAAAGGTGGGCTGGGACACAGGACTCAAATAATCCCTCTGGCTGGACCAACGCAGAGGCCATGAAGACAGAGGAGTGGAATGTTGGGGAAAGGAGCTTTTCCATTTTTCTCTCCTTTCAGAGCCATTTTGCCTGTTTTCAAATCTAGTAACAGCATTGCTTCACCAGCGCAGTGTTGTAGATACAGCCTGTGGGTCACACCAGGATGCAATTACACTGCTGGCGGCACAGTGAGCCAAGAGGCTCTGGATGGAGCCTGGCCACCCAGCCTTCCCTCCTCAAAGTTTAGAAACTCGCCAACCCGACCCGCCTGCTGGAGGCATGGCTGCAAACCTGCAGGGTGCCACGTTTGATTTTTAAGCCTGGTGTGCTTCCTTGCCTAAATTACTTTGTGATGTATCATACTGAACCCTAAAATATTTTGTAGCCAGTTTTATTACGAAATGGATTCTATTTGGTGATTACAAAATATTCTGCTTTTAAGTAGTCTCAGTTCTTCAGCTGCTTCCACATGTGTGTTCAGCCTGTTGAAGAAGATGCGGGAGGCATTGAGCCTCCCAGAGAAAGACCCTGCAAGAGACTCCAGGGAAGAAAAACTCTCAAATTAAAGTTGTGAGCTCTGGCCCCCGCGTGCTGACAAAATCCATTGCATGCACCGCCCTCTTGTGGTCACGCAGCAGGTGACACACTTCAAAGGCAAGTTACACGGACTCTGCGCTTGGCCCCGGGGAACAGGTTCTCTGTTAGGAAAAGCGTTTCTGAACATTCCTTTATTCACATGTGCACGCACACAGCACTATAAGCAAGTGAGATCTGACATCAGGGCTATTCTCCCCTATCACAAGGAAATAACACAAATGTGGATTTTTTAAAAGCTCAGAACTGTGGGTGAAGATTCCAAAATCACAGGATGTCCAAACTGGAAAGGATCCTGACATGATCTTGATCAAATCCCCTCCATTTTTTTTTTTAAAGTGGTGGGGGGTTTGTGTGATCTTAGACAACTCACTGTATGTCCCAGAGACACATATTGACTTGCCTAAGATCACACAGCAAATCGCTGGTGTTGAGGTACAGGCCTCTGTCCCATGCCGGAAGTGGCTCTGGGACTCACCACTCCAGCTCTTCACTGGAGACGTCAGGAGACTGAGTCCAGCGAGGTCGAGAGGCCAGGGCCACGCAGGGAGCCCGAGAGCTGAGCTCTGGTGCTGGTCCCCTGGGCAGTGGGTCCCTTCTCCCATCTATGTCCTTCCCTGTTCTTGGGCAGGGACTGTCTCTTCCACCAGGACCTCTGTGCCCAGGACCGGACAAGAGGGGCTTGTGGCAAGTATGGACGGATGAAGGGGGCACCAACCAGGACTCAGGAAGAGCAGGGGCCAGAAGCAGGGCCTGGGCTAACTTATGGTTCAAATGGTAAATTTTATGTTATGTATATTTTACCACAGTGAAAAAGGAAACAGCAGTTTTAAACCCAAATTTAAAAAAAGGAAATAAAAAAAAAACTTAGGAACTTCTTTATGAGGCTACAGAGCAGCTACCACCAGCCCCATTTGACAAGAAAAATGCTATTCCCTTTTTTATTGTGGTGAAACATACATAACATAAAATTTGCCATTTTTATCATTTTAAGTGCACACTTCAGTGGCATTAAGCACATCTGCGCTGCTGTGCAACCGTCACCACTATTCAGCTCCAGAACTTTCCATCTTCCCAAATGAGACTCTGTCCCCCATGAAACACGAACTCCCTGTTTCCTCCCCCAGCCCTGGCACCCGCAATCCTACTTTCCGTCTCTATGATTTTGACCCCTTAGCTTCCTCATGTGAGTGGAATCGTGCAAGGTTCGTCTTTTTGTGGCTGGTTGTTTCACTCAGCAGAACATCCTTAGGTGCCGTCCATGTTCCCTTCCTTTCCAAGGCCGGGTGCTGTCCCACCCTACGGATAAATCACCTTTCGTTTCTCCATTCATTCATCAGTGGACACTGGGTTGCTTCCACAGTCCACGTGGTTTCACCGAAGCCTGGCAGTGGGAGCTGTCCCCTCTGGTGGACAGTGAACTCACTCTGGGGGAGGGGTCGAGTAACCATGGTCAGATGGCTCTTGCGGTGAGAGGTATGTGCCTGCTCTGAGCAAGGCACCCCGAAGGCTGAGGCCTCTCTGGAGGCTGGTAACTGTCACCCAGGCCACAGCATCTTGGGCAACCTGGATTCCTTCCTTTCCACCTGGGAAGCTTGGCTGACCTGGGGCCCAGCTCAGGCTGTAGCCAGGATCGGATGCTGTTTTAAATTTGGGATTGGATTCAGAAGGATCGGGAACCTGAAAGTCAACGTCCTTTCGGTTGATCTGAAAACACAAAACTCACTGGCTTTGCCAAAAAGGCAGTTCTCAAATTCGCAGCCAAAGAACGCATCGAACAGAAATAGCATTAGAGGGAGTGCGGGGATCCCTTCCATGTTACCGTGAAGTTCTCATACTGTTGAGCGAACGTGGGAGTCAGGGTGGAGAAAGCGTGGCCTGGCCGGCAGGGCACCGCACACTGTGCCGCTGTCTCCCCACTTCGTTTTCATTCTCTTTAAAAACCAAAACTGAAAAACCCTGCCCGTAACTACTTGCACTTATGTCCCAAACACCTCTGACTTCTCATCCGCATTCTCACTGAGGAACGTGATGCCAAGGAAGGGACTTTAAAAAATCTCTTAATTAATTATTGGTTATAATGAATGCCGAGGAGGGCACGTTTCCAAAACCCTCGTCTCCACGGTTTGCTTTCTGTTGTGTGTGCGTCCGTTGTAAACACAGCTTTCAGAATTTTCGCTGATGCTCAAGTGCTCTTTCCAGCAACAGCATTCATACACGCCAGGCCACTTCCCGCAAGTCATAATTACAACATAAAGCCAAATTAAATGTTCTAACGCTGTCGCTCCAACTCCTTCACATTTCCTTGCTCTTAGCAAACTTCCTTTTTTGAGTCCTGCAAAAGATTCGCTATTTTCCATTAAAGTAGACTCACTATTTCCTTCTAGAGTATTAAAAGTGCAAAGAGCCACAGGTAAAGCCTTCCTTTTCTCTGGTCTTACCGCATCCTTTGTCCAAACAAAGGCAGAAGTCCCCTGTCCCCCATGCAGTTGTATGTACGCAGAGAGCCCAGTCCCAGCTCCTAGGCGGTCAGACAGGCACCCCGAGTCACCACTGGCCTGCCAGCACCAGCAGCTCCAGGTCCCTGAAATCCAGCAGGCATAACCTAAGAGGTTACCTAGAGTTCAGTCAAGCTCCTCAAATAGCCACTAAGTGAAATGAGGAAAAGTTATGTAAAGTGAAGTAAAATCCTCAACAATGAAACACAAAGCTGTTATTCTCTTTTTATGAAACTCCAGTAAATTGTTTCAGAAAATGAAAGTGCCGGAAAAGAAATATTTCCATTGGGAACTAGAGATGCCCTGTGTTAAAATGGTCACACAGAAATCTGGACGACCAAGCTTTAAAGCTTTGGCTGTGTTTTAAGCTATAGCCTCGGTTCATTAGAATGGGATTTTTTTTTTTAACCAACAAACTTCTACTTTTTCTCTCTATGTGTTGTTCTGCTTAAGCCTCTGAAAACTAATTTATAAAATTGAAAATGTGTTCTTGTAGCAATTCCATACTTTCTAATAAACTTGATATAGACCCTTTTGTAGTTAATGGAATCCTTTTTTAAAATTATGTTTGAATTTTCATTTATTTGAGCTCTTAGAAAACTGTAGATTGCTAAATTGAAGTTTAAATGAATTTGTTCATTATAGCAGTTAAGAAGGCACCAAAGCCTCACCAGCAATTTCACAATTAATTAAAAATAAAAACTAATTTAAAATTATGCAGAAAAGGACACTACTTAAATCACACAGCTTTCTTTTTTTTGCTATAGCTGGGTGAGGTTTGAATATCCTAAACTCTTAAATGCAACTATTAAAATGATTAAACAGTGGGAGTAAAATATTGGCAAATGCAATATCAGCCTAGGTATAACTTCATTTTCATTATCTTGTGGTTTTTTTCTTTTAAAAATAATTTTAAATTAGTTTTTTTCCTTTTAAAAAGAAAAAACATCAAACCTGTGGCTTTATTGAAGGCTCTCTTTACACTTCATATTTTGGTGGAAATATTGCTAATTCCGAGTGTATCTTCTTGAAAAGCTTTCTGCAGAGGAAACGGGATGGTTCTAAATTCTGTCTTCTGATTTCTGACACAGCACGGTGAAATTTTTGATGAAACATCTATACCAGGCCTCCGGGCTTTCCTGAATTTGTCTAGATAAAGAAGAAGGACAAAAATCTTTTCCATCTGTAATTTTGTAAAGTTATAGAACATTTTTAAAACCTGCATTAAATTAGCAATGGAAAGAGTATTCTGTCTCCAAACATTTCTAGAATTGAGAATTTTTTTCTCTAATTCTAGTACATGCTTAACTTTACGCAACATTTTGCCCATATTTATGCATAGATATGCAAACACAATCATGGCAATGGAGAACACTTTTCTAAAAAGCATGGCCACAGTGCTACAATGAAGGTGCTTGGCCCATCAACTTGTTATATAATAAATACTTTTTAAAAAAAATCAGACTTAAAAATCCTAGTGGGCCTTGTGATAGAAAGTATATCATATAATTAGAAAACAAAATAACTGGAGTGGAAAGTTTCCTGAAACTAGCTTGATGCCGTATTCCACTTGACATTTACTGTTAAAGAAATTCAATGCACAAATTCAGCCACACCCAGACTCACCTTTGCATTTAAGTAGTCCAAGATGTTTGGAGGAGAACTGGTGTCCCAGTGTTCAGACATGGGTGAACCAGCTCTCCCTGCCCAGGCACACGAGCGTGATTCTATCCTGCAGTTTCCTGGATCTGTCATGTGGAAGCAGGCGACATCGTCTTTGATTTTATCATACGAGAGTGTTCCCACTGCATTTGTGCAGTGGCTACACCTGGCTGCTTCCACACCACACACTTCTGAAAACCCCACTGTGTTGTCTCTGTCTTGGAGGGAAAACAAGTTTGTGTGCTTTTTCTGGGTTCATTAGCAGAGCTGGTTGCCTGAGTTGGGTCCCAGCACTGCTCCTGCTGGTAAAGTTCTGCAGGTGTGTGGCTTGTCCTCTAGTTCAGCGGGAGAAACCGATTCTAAGGTTGCCGTATAATTAGCAGGGTCTCCTTTCCCTCCTTTAATCAGCTGCTAACACCTCCTGGCTGTTTAATATCACAGTCAGCCCAGTTATAAACACTAAAGGACATGCTCTTGAAATAATTAAAAAAAAAACTCTGCTCAGTAACAAACATAAAACCCGTCATTATTTAATACAGAGGAATGTTGTGTTATAACAAAATGGTGGTCTTATTCCTGATGCTTTATTCTGATTGTGGGATTTTTTTTTTTTTTTTGAGGAGGCAACTTCTCTGTATAAGGAAACATTGTATCTTTTGTTTACTTTCATCCATCTGATCTGAGACAAAATACACAACAATCTTTCACTCAAGAGCAATTAGTCCTATTCCTGTTTCAGAAAAGGGTTGAACATGTAGACTCAAAGAAGAGAGAATTCTCCCCAAAATGACTATCCATTAAGTCGTAAACATGACTTGGAGGTTAATTTCCTATAGCAAATAACCGTAATTTCCTTGAAATCTAGTTCTTTATGTAATTAAAGTTATTTATTTGAGGACTTAAATGTACTTTAACATTTTACATGCCCTTAGTATCTGTGTAAAATTCAATATTTGGAGCCTGGGGCTGCATTCCCCTGCATATATAATTGCACCGCTGCTCTAACTCACACTGATATTCTTGTGACGATAGATGAAAATGCTAATGTACCGAGGAAAGGGAACGGGAGACAATCTGCGAATACCAGGCCGAACCCCGTTTGCCCTGGACCCTTCCAGAGTCCCTCAGATGAGGGTCAAAGCCTGATTTCTAACAGCAAGGCAGAGAGAGGGTCTCAGAGCGTGTTTATTGATACAGAATGTTGGAGACGGACAGACAGGCCTTTGCCTATGATCAAGCGACTTTCTGTGCAAATCTTATGGAATGCGGCATTCCAGACTTTAAAGGGAAAGGGAGATCACCATGGCAACGGCACATGGGGGCTGGAGATGGGGGGGTTCCCTTGGGAGCTAAAAAGCCAGCAGAATTTTAAGCATTTGCAACTTAAAAAAGAAGAAGATGAAAACCGCACAACTCTGCCAAACACATCTACAGACATGGAATACGGTTAGAGGGTTCTTCAGAAAGATCCAAATAAACACAGCTCAGAGCCTGCACAATACGAGCTGGGAAAAAAATCGGCTAAAAAGTCCCCTGCAGGACCCGGTCTTCTCCATTGAAGAGGGAGACACTGTTGCCGCCAAAGGGCCAACAAGGGGGAGCGTTTGAGGAGGCCGGTGGCTGCCTAGCAAGGGTCCTGGGCCAGGGATTTCCCTGCCTGTCTGCTCTTGAAGCCCTGGGCCCTGGTCTCTCCCAGCTGGAAAACACGGTTTTGTAGATGTAGGACCCAGGCGCAGTGGGGCTGGCTCATCTCAGCCGCTCAGAACCACACAGACTCCAGCCCACCCGCAGTTGGCTCATGGCTTCCAACACCGCAGCAAGGCTGTGTGTAGAAACAGCTTAGTTATCACAGACATCTCTTAGAATTGCAGATAATAAGCCGAAGAGAACCAAGTGTAAAAGTGACTGTAAGCGAATGCAGTTTGTGGTTATAGTATCCGTAAGAGAAAAAAAAAGGACAGATTTATAAATGGGGCCAATTCAAACACTCTAGAAACTGCCTCCCCTGCCAGCTCTTTTATTTAAGAAAAAAAGGAGAGTGCTGAAAACGTGGGGCCAGCCCGTGCCCAGCTGGTCAAAGGCATCGGAGCGCCTGTGTCCCTGAAGGAGCTGGGCTTCAGCCCTGGCCTCTGCAGGGGTCTGAGGTGATGCCGGGGTAGGGGGGCAGGGTGGGGGACATCAATCAACACAAAATGCGGCAAATGCTTCCCTGGAAATGGCAACATAGCAGAGAGCCATGAGCACAGACGGGCCAGCTCCCGCAGCCGCCCTTCCGGTAGTGTCCATGCTCACGGGGCGGGAGGGCAGGCCGGGGATTATCTGGATCATGTAAGTCAGAACGTTGCTGTTCTGGGTGTGTGTGGTCAGGTCAGAGCAGACCTGATTTCTGGTGCAGTGGTGAGCCTGGTTTGTACAGGGACACACCCCAGACATGACCACCCTGCTGTATTTCACAGAATCTCTGCTAGGCAAAGCCTCCAGCTATTTAAAACAGAAATAGCCCCAGCAGGGATGATGAGCAGGGGATTTTGGTGTTCAGTGATTTCGCCTTTGCAGGAAGGCAGGGTGGTGGTGGTGGGGGGGGGCGGGGTAGGGGGCGGGGTGGGGTCCTGGTGACCCCAGCAGGATCTGGCCTGGTTCCAGGCATCACCAGGTACTGGGCTGTGGCCTTGGGTAATTCATTTTTCCTCTCAGAGTCTCTATTTTCTCCTTTGCAAAATGGGTCTAATAATATCTTTTCCACCTTTAGGGACAAGCACTCAAGAAGACAAAGGGAGGGTCAGTGGAAGGGAGGGGAAGAGGTGGGAGGTAAGGGGGCTTCAATAAGTGACCCTCTTTCCTTTTCTAATTGTAAAAGCAGCATATGATTGTCATAAAGGCACTAAAAAATGTAGAAATGCGTAAAGGAGATAATGGCCAGTAAAAGCCAGAGAGAGCCCTTGATAACCTCTCCCCTTCCTCCCTCTCCCTCTCTCACTTGCGAGGAGACCCATGACATAATTATTATTATTATTTTTTTGAGATGGAGTTTTGCTAGTCACCCAGGCTGGAGTGCAGTGGTGCCACCTCAGCTCACTGCAACCTCTGCTTCCCAGGTTCAAGCGATTCTCCTGTCTCAGCCTCCCAAGTAGCTGGGACTATAGGTGTGCATCACCATGCCTGCTTAATTTTTGTATTTTTAGTAGAAACAGGGTTTCACCATGTTGGCCAGACTGGTCTCGAACTCTTGACCTCAAGCGATCCACCCACCTTGTCCTCCCAAAGTGCTGGGATTAGACATACATTTTTGAAATTGTGATAAAATAGACATAACATAAAATATACCATTTTTAACCGTTCTAAGTATACCATTTAATGGCATTAAGAACATTCACATTGTCATGTAACCATCACCAGGATCCCTCTCCATAGCTCCTTTCATTTTGTAAAACTGAACTCTGTATCACTAAACACAAACGCCCAGTTCCCCTCTCCCAGCCCCCAGCACCCACCATTGTGGCACCCACCATTCTACCCTCCCTCTCTAAGAACTTGACCTCATATGAGTGGAATCATATAGTATTTGTTCTTTTTTTTTTTTTTTCTTTTTTTGAGATGGAGTCCCGCTGTTTTGCCCAGGGCTGGAGTGCAGTGGCACGATCTCGGCTCATTACAACTTCCACCTCCCAGGTTCAAGTGACTCTCTTGCCCCAGCCTTCCAAGTAGCTGGGATTACAGGCGCACCACCGCGTCCAGCTAATTTTTGTATTTTTAGTAGGGACGGGGTCTCACCGTGTTAGCCAGGCTGGCCTCAAACTCCTGACCTTGTGATTCACCCACCTCGGCCTCCCAAAGTGCTGGGATTACAGGTGTGAGCCACCGCGCCCAGCCAGTATTTGTTCTTTTGTGTATGGCTTATTTCACATAGCATAAATGCCTTCAGAATTCATCCACATTGCAGCAGGTACTAGGATTTCCTTCCTTTTTAAGGGTGAGTAATGCTCCACTCTGTGGATGGACCACATTTGGTTTAGCCATTCATCTGTTTGTGGACACTCGGGTTGCCTCCCCCTTTTGGCTATTGTGAATAATGTTGTTCCACATACGGTGTGCAAGTATCCATTTCAGCCTCTGCTTTGCATTATTTTGGGTATACGCCCAGCAGGGGAATTGCTGGATCATCTGGTAATTGTATGTTTAATTTTTTGAGGTACCGCCATACTGTTCTCCACAGCAGCTGCACCATTTCACGTTCCCATCAGAAATGCACAAGGCTTCCAATTTCTCCACATCCTTGCCAACACTTGTGATTTACATGTTTTTTTTGTTTTTGTTATATATATATATATATATAAAATAGTCATCCTGATGAATGTGAAGTGGTATCTCCTTGTGGTTTTGATTTACATTTCCCTAATGATTAGTGATGTTGAGCATCTTTTCGTCATCTTATTGGAATTTTTATTTCTTCTGGGAGGAATATCTATTCAACTCCTTTTTCTATTTTTAATTTTTTGTTGTTTCATAAACATCATTTTATAAGGGTTCTTCTCACTTCCTATATGAGAAACATCATTCCTCCTAGATAAATTAGAGTTTCCAGCCATGGTTTCCAGCCTGTCTTTCTGCCTCCCCTCCACGCCCTCCCTCCTGAAACGGGGACCATGTCACGGGTGAGAACGCAGACCCTCGTTCAGGCTCCACTCTTAGCCACTGTGAATTCCTGGGCAAACGGCCTTCCCTATACAACAGTTTTCTCACATGTAGCATGGAGATTGAGTAATGCTTACTGCATACATGGTGTGGATTAAACAAATTAATTTATGTGAAATCCTTAGCACCTGCAGGGAGCCCAGAATTCCATGAAAGAGTGGGCTCTGCTGTTACCAGTGGTGTTGTTATTTCTCATTCCACGCAGGGGGTCTCATCTGGGTTCTGGTGGAAGGATATGGCAGAATCCCCGGGAGGAGGGGGGCTCCTGGATATGCTAACAGATGAAAGCCTCTCCATGCAAGCAAATGGCTGGGAGGAGCCGATGGTTCCTTGTGCCTGGGCATTGCCCATCCTCCTGTCAACTCCTCTCACATCTATCTTTAGGTGGACAATGTTGTCATCTCCATTTGTGGCTGAGAAAATGGAAACCTTAGAAAGATCCAGTAACTATCCAAAGCCACTGACAGGATGCGACCTGAGGCCATCTGCCACGTGCTGCCACCCTAACCAGCCCCACAGGGAGAGCTGGCCGTGGCCTTCAATGACACTATGCCACGTGCTGCCACCCTAACCAGCCCCACAGGGAGAGCCGGCCATGGCCTTCAATGACGCTATGCCACGTGCTGCCACCCTAACCAGCCCCACAGGGAGAGCCGGCCATGGCCTTCAATGACGCTATGCCATGTGCTGCCACCCTAACCAACCCCACAGGGACAGCCGGCCGTGGCCTTCAATGACGCTATGCCATCAGAGCTGCCACCCTAACCAGCCCCACAGGGAGAGCCGGCTGTGGCCTTCAATGACGCTATGCCACGTGCTGCCACCCTAACCAACCCCACAGGGACAGCCGGCCGTGGCCTTCAATGACGCTATGCCATCAGAGCTGCCACCCTAACCAGCCCCACAGGGAGAGCCGGCTGTGGCCTTCAATGACGCTATGCCACGTGCTGCCACCCTAACCAGCCCCACAGGGAGAGCTGGCCGTGGCCTTCAATGATGCTATGCCACATGCTGCCACCCTAACCAACCCCACAGGGAGAGCTGGCCGTGGCCTTCAATGACGCTATGCCACGTGCTGCCACCCTAACCAGCCCCACAGGGAGAGCTGGCCGTGGCCTTCAATGACGCTATGCCACGTGCTGCCACCCTAACCAGCCCCACAGGGAGAGCCGGCCATGGCCTTCAATGACGCTATGCCACGTGCTGCCACCCTAACCAGCCCCACAGGGAGAGCCGGCCGTGGCCTTCAATGACGCTATGCCATGTGCTGCCACCCTAACCAACCCCACAGGGACAGCCGGCCGTGGCCTTCAATGACGCTATGCCACGTGCTGCCACCCTAACCAGCCCCACAGGGAGAGCTGGCCGTGGCCTTCAATGATGCTATGCCACATGCTGCCACCCTAACCAACCCCACAGGGAGAGCTGGCCGTGGCCTTCAATGACGCTATGCCACGTGCTGCCACCCTAACCAGCCCCACAGAGAGAGCTGGCCGTGGCCTTCAATGACGCTATGCCACGTGCTGCCACCCTAACCAGCCCCACAGGGAGAGCTGGCCGTGGCCTTCAATGATGCTATGCCACGTGCTGCCACCCTAACCAGCCCCACAGGGAGAGCTGGCCTTGGCTTTCAATTATGCCATGCCACGTGCCAGAATTTGCCAGAATTTACATCTTGACCGTGGTGGTGGTCACACAACTGTGGACATTTGTCAAAAGTAAAAAGGATGAATGTTACTGAATGCAAACCGTGCCTTAATGAAACACCCTGAATTGCATAAACATTTTTTTCCTTTTAGTTCAAAGGCATTTTCATGATATTTGTTGCACGGTTCGTTTGGTAATAAAGTCAAGAGGCAGCTGGAGGCTGATTTTGTCCAAGGCTCAGTTTGTAGGCTTTGAAATATCAGTGTTTCTTGGTCAGCATCACCTTTCCTGGAAAGAGGTGAGTCTGTGGGAGATCCCATGTGTAGACGGCAGATGCCAGGCTGGGCTCTCCAGGGTCAAATGAGCTAAGTCTGCAAGTCTAATGCAGGCGAGCACCTGCCGGGGAGCTGGGAGGCAGCGTCTTCCTGCTCACCTCCATTCTGAGAACTGTCATCAAGCTCCTCAGCCTCCGGGCTCTTTGAGCTTAAAAACACTACTCTTTTATGAGAATCGCAAAATTATCATAGGGTTCTGGCTCAGTTTAAAACTTAACCTGAGAGGTCTCTGGTGCTGCAGTTTTGTTCTGGAGGTGTTAGTACCCCTGCTTTATGGGGAGGATGTTTGCAGAGAGGAAACACGTGAGTGATCATACATGTATGTTGACGAGAGAAAAAAGCAAGGTGGCAATGACCTTTGTTGGGGCCCTGCCATCCTGGCCGGGATGCCGCAGTAGGACACCCCCTGCCCAGCACTGCCTGTGTGGCAGGAGGACAGCTGGTCACTGTGCCCACTGACATCACAGAGCCTGCAGGTCCCCTTCATGTCCGTGCCTGCCTCTCTGTCCCTGGACCACCCCTGCCCTGCCCACTCCCTGCTCCACATCAGCTTCTCACTAAGTCCTGGTTCCCTCCCATCCTCCTGTAACCTTTCCCTTCTGTGCCCTTCCCTCTGACAATAACTCCCACTGCGCACTGCTGCTCCGGAAAAGGGCTTCATTCGGCTCAACCTGGGTGGGCACCACAAGGACGCGGGGCTGTGCAATGCACGCTGGCAGGCGACAGAACACTTGGGTGGCTTTTGAAGTCAATTTTGTTGAATTAGTGTTGCCGGTATTAAGCACACAGGCGCACGCACATGCACCTTCTTCCTGACATTCTCACATTTTGAGCAAATTCAGTGTAAATGAGACGGGAAGGTAACTGGGAGAATCTCTGTCCACAAGAACTACTTTTAAGGCCAGATCTCATTTTCAGTGAACGACTCTCTGTGTCTTTACTTGATTGTAAGGTTTAGATACATTAGAAATTTAGGTGAGGAAGGTGACAGAATCATGTTATGTCTTGATTGTGTGGTGGTTACACGACAGTATACATTTATCAAGACTGAAAAGGATAAATTTTACTGAATGGAAATCACGCCTTAATAAAAAATGGAAAAACAATAGGTTGCAAGATGAAGAATTCAATAGATTAAACAGGTGTTTGAACTACATGACACCAACAGTCCATTGGCTAATGTTTGTCATTTAATTAGCTGATTCAACGGGCTGTTTGGTAAAGAACCGATATCCAATTCTAAATTTGGCCAGGTTGGGGGAGGACACTCTGTCTTTTTGTCTTTCCAGCTCTCTTCCTTTCTAAGAAGCACTCTCCCTCCTTCTGGAGATCTGATTTCCCCCCATAACTTGATAAAGTTCAGAAAGCTAAGATTATCCCTCATTTCGAAGTGTGTTCAGATGGGCTTTTCCATCCCCCATCCCGGATAGAGCAAGAACGAAGGCTGGGGTCCACAGGAGGAGGACGGGGTGGGCAGGGTCAGATGAGCAGCCGCAGAGGGAAGCGGTCCAGAGGGAGCTCACGGAGCCCACCTGGGCCATTCTGAGGTTAAAAGATGCCTGGACAAGAAGGGCAAGGACCGTGTTGCCCCATTTTCCAGCAGATGCCAGGTGTGAGGTCGCTTCATTGTCGGCTTGTTCTCTCTGGAGCTAGGGTTGTTCTCACAGTCCTTCTGGACAGTGAAGGAGGCCAGGGGTGTAATGAAGAGGGGACACTGCAGCGAGGAAGAACCTGAAGCAACCATGGCACCAAAGAAGGTGGCCTGAGAAACACAAATGGTGGTCAGAGCGTGCTTCCCTCGGAAGAGAGCAGGTGTGATGCAGGAAGAGGATGGAGTCCTTCCATCTCGCCCGCTACCCATCTGTTTACTCCTAACTCTGGGTCTGCACCCACCAGGGGAATATGGAGCCTAGAGAAGGGAGGGCTGGGAAGGACCTTGGCATGGCAGCTGTTGGCTGCAGTAAGAAGAGACCACAGTGAAGCCACACGTTCTGTAGTCTGCCCTAGGAACTGTAAAGGCTGAGTTCACAATGCTGAAAGTTGAATTCATGGTGAAAATAATCAAGCTTTTAAAACATCATCTCGAAATGCAGATATAAAGAATAAAAAATAAGAAAATGATGGGAGAGATAATGATAGACAGAGAAGACAGAATAAAGATCCAACTTATGAAAAATAATAATTTCTAGAAAAAGAAAAAAAAAGCAAATCAAAGTTATAATAGAAGAAAACTTTCCTGAGTGATGTGAAAATATCATTAAGCCCTCTGTATTCCAGGGTTTCCAATCTGCAGATTCAATCAACTGAGGATAAAAAATACTGGGAAAAACAATTAAATATAGTAATATGAAAATTAAAAATAATATAAATAAAATCAATACAATATAACAACTATTTATAGGGCATTTACACTGTATTAGGAATTATAAATAATCTAGAGGTGATTTAAAGCAAACAGGAGGATGTGTGTAGGTTATGTGTAAATACTATGCCGTTTTATATCAGGGACTTGAGCATCCTTAAATTTTGGTCTGTTTGGGGGTCCTGGAATAAGTCTCCATTGGATACTGAGGGATGTTTGTACCTGAGTATCCAAGTCAATAGGATTCTTCAACATTACCCAAGTAGTTCACATTCTAGTGAACATTTGGAAGCACAATAGGAGGAAGGGAGGGATGCAAGGAAGGAAAAGAGGAGACAACAGAAGAGTGAACAGGAAACAAAATTTATTACACCATGTTTTTAGATAAGACTAAATATTACAAACATACAAATTCCTTAATTCAAATTAAAATTCCTACAGGATTTTAACTTCACAAAATAAGGAAGGATAAGAGAAGATAAAGAGGAGTGGACAGGAAACACAATTTCCTACAGCATGTTTCTAGATAAGAAGACTAAATATTACAAACATATAAATTACTTAATTCAAATTAAAATTCGTATAGGATTTCTCTAACTTCACAAAAATAAGTGCATTTGGAAGTCATGTGAAAATGGCTTCAACAAATAAGGAAAGGAAAAGAAAGATAAGAAAGGAAAGAATGGGAAGTGAAGATAAGGAAGAGATGGAGGAGGCCTAGCCCAAATGGATGTTACAGCACTTTTGAATCCACAAAAATTAAGTAGATTTATAGTCATTACAAAGGATCCAACAGTCATGAGATTTGTCCAGTCTTCTCCAAACACTTAAAACTGCTGATCTAAATTTATTTATTTTGAGATGGTCTTGTTCTGTCACACAGGCTGGAGTGCAGTGGTGCCATCATAACTCACTGCAGCCTCCAATTCTGGGCTAAAGTGATTCTCTCAGCTTAGCAGCCTGAGTAGCTGGGTCTACAGGTGCATGCCACCACACCCAGATAATTATTTTTTTTTTTTTTTGTAGAAATGGAGTCTTGCTGTGTTGTCCGGGCTTGTTTCAAACTCCTGGCTTCAAAGGATCCTTCTGTCTTGGCTTCCCAAAGTGCTGGGATTACAGGTGTGAGCCACTGCACCTGTTCTTTAAATTTAAAAATTGAGCCAAGACAAAAAAGCAAGAAAGGGAAACCAGTTCCCAGAAATCAAGAGGAAGCTCTCAGTTGGAGCAGTGAACAGGAGTCTCAGTGGTGTGCTCCAAAGAGGGTGTGCAGGTGGGCTGGAGTTCTCACAGTAGGAGGGGTTCAAATGACCATGAGAAGAAAGAATCCGGAATTTCTCTTCTTGTTTGAATCTAGGAGAGGAGAGTTTGGAAGTTTCCAAGCGTGAGCAGGGAGGGAGCAGAAAGATCTGTGTTTTGGCCACAGGTCATAGCCTGGAAGAAGAAATCCTTTAAAAGGCTGTGAAGTGAGAAGAAGCTCAGCCTGTGCTGTGTGCAGGTGTGAGGCCCAAAGTCACACTTCTATGCTCAGAGTGTGGAGACAGAAGGCTGAAAACCATGCTCACGGATGAGAAGTAGCTACAGCTGAGCCCAGTGTCAACTAAAATAGACCAAAGGGTCCATTGCCCCAGAATGGGAATATTTGTACCCCAGGAACTAAAGTTAATAGAATAATCTGAATGAAACTGTAAACTAGACACACTTTAAATATTCAAAGAGCTAAAGGAAGGGAAAGAGTCCATTCCTGCAGCTGTAACAAAATTCCATGTACTGGGTAATTTATAAACAATGGGAATTTATTTCTCCCAGTTCTGGAGGCTGAGAAGTCCAAGATCAAGGGCCAGTAAACTTGGTGTCTGGTGAGGGCTGCTCTCTGCTTCCAAGATGGCGCCTTGTTGCTGCTGTGCCCTGTGGAGAGGACAGACGCCGTGTTCTCTCTCACTTGACGAGGGGACCAAAGGCTGTGTCCTCACATGCCAGCAGAGTGGAAGCTGGAGGCAGTTCTCTGAAGTCTATTTTATAAGGACATTAATTCCGTTCATGAGACTGGGGTCCTCTGGGCCTAATCACCTCCCACGGGCCCCAACTCTTCATAGCAACCCCTTGAGAGTCAAGCTCCAACACAAGAATTTTGGGGGGATACATACATTCAAACTACAAAAATCCTTAAAGCAAGAATAGGCAATTATGAAATAAGAATCAGCAAACGTGAAACATAATTAAGAAGGAATCCTAGGTTTATAAAAGAACCTAGGTAAAAAGAAACCTCCGAGAGTCGACGTGATGTCGCTGAAGTGGGAAGCCCAGTCATGGACCGCATGTACGACCGTGGTCCCGGAAGAGGATAATGGAGCTGAAAACTCCTATCGCCTGGTGATTTCGATGGCACCGCACATTCCTCACGTGTTTGTGGTATAAACAAACCTACTGCGTGCCAGTCGTCTAAAAGTCTAGCACATAGAATTATGTACATCCCGTAATACTTGATAATGATAACAAATGATGATGTTGCTGGTTTATGTAGTTACTGTATCATACTTTGAGTCGTTGTTTTAGAGTATATTCCTTCCATTTGTTAAAAAATAGAAAAATAGTTACCTGTAAAACAGCCTCAGTGGGTCCTGCAGTAGGTATCCAGAGGAAGACATTGTCATATAGGAGGTGACAGCTCCACGCGTCACCAGTGGGACAAGAGGTGGAGGTGGAAGACAGTAGTATGGGTGACCCCGACCCTGTGTAAGCCTAGGCTAATGTGTCGTAGCTTGATTTTTAGCACAAAAATTTAAAAAGTGAAAAATTAAAGTAAAAATTTTTTAAGCAGAAGGAAGCTTATAGAATAAGAATATAAAGAAAGAAAATATTTTTGTAGAGCTGTACAACGTGTTTGTGTTTTAAGCTAAGTGTTATTACAGAAGAGTCAAAAAGGTTAAAAAGTAAGAGTTTATAAAGTTAAAAAGTTACAGCCAGTTCAGGTTAATTTATTATTGAAGAAAAAAATATTTTTATAAATGTAGTTGAGCCTAAGTGTGCAGTGTCTATAAAGACTCCAGCAGTGTAGACCTTCACATTCACCACCCCTCACTCACAGACTCACCCAGAGCAACTCCCAGTCCTGCCAGCTCCACTCACAGTACATGCCCTAGACAACAGATGCATTCTTTTTCATATTTTACACTGTGTTTTTTGTTTTGTTTTGTTTTGTTTTAGATGGAGTCTTGCTCTGTCGCCCAGCTGGAGTGCAGTGGCACGATCTTGGCTCACTGCAACCTCTGCCTCCCAAGTTCAAGCGATTCTCCTGTATCCTCAGCCTCCCGAGTAGCTGGGACCACAGGCGCGCGTCACTACACCTGGCTAATTTTTGTATTTTTAGTAGAGATGGGGTTTCACCATATTGACCAGGCTGGTCTCAAACTCCTGACCTCGTGATCCACGCTCCTTGGCCTCCCAAAGTGTTGGGATTACAGGCGTGAGCCACTGCGCCTGGCCAACAGTGTTTTTGCTATGCCTTTTCTATGTTTAGATACACAAATACTTCCCATTGTGTTACACTTGCCTACAGTATTCCGTGCAGTCACATGCTGTCTAGGTTTGTAGCCTGGGCAAGAGGCTAAACCACATAGCCTAGGGGTGTAGGAGGCCACACCATCCAGGTCTGTGTAAGCACGCGCTCTGATGTTCACACAATGACAAAATCATCTGACGATGCATTTCTCAGAACATATTCCCATCATTAAGTGACGCATGACTGCAGAAAACTGGGGGAAGAAACCTGAAAACTCGTCAGCCTGCAGCACAGTGAGATAAAGAAATGGAAACACATATGAGAAATTAAGAGACAGAGAGAACAAGATGAGGTGCTTAAATAGGCACCTCATAGAAGTTCTAGAAAGAGAACAGTGAGACTCTGGAATAGTCAATATTTGTAGAGGTAATGCCTGAAGTTTTTCCAGAATTGAAGGACATACATGGTGTGGTTTTAAAATATCCTCAAGTCCTAGACAGGATAACTAGAAACCAATTCCTGTGAAGACAGCGTAACAAACTGCAAAACACAAGGATAAGGAGAAAAATGTGAAAGCTACCCGGGAAGACAGGATAACTAGAAACCAATTCCTGTGAAGACAGCATAACAAACTGCAAAACACAAGGATAAGGAGAAAAATGTGAAAGCTACCCGGGATTAAAAATCACCAAAAACAACAGATACAAGATGAAGGGTATACAGTGAGATGGTGGTACCCACCTCATCAGTAAGGCCGAATGTCGGCGTGCAGGGAAATTATATCCACAATCCTTACATTGTTCTGATCCAAGGACAGACAGACTTCACAGAGCAGGAGAGATAACCTGGAAAGAGAGAAACGAAGTGAATATTCGACAAAAAATGGATCACAAACCAGGACGACTTGGAGGATTAGACAGTAAGTGGTGTTCATATAATTGGTTGGCTATTTAGAAAAACACATTATCTACTGTATACAACCCCAAATATTAAGATTAAAGAGTTAATTTTAAAATAATCATAGTGCACAGCTTTGCACAGTGGTAATATCATAGCCCATGAGGTTTATCTGAGGCGCGATTATTGCTAATTAAAAGCTTCCCCACAATAATAATAGTGTAAAATGTGGGATGAGTAAATTAGAAATGTGCCTAACATTACTGATGGTCAGAGAAACGCAGATCAAAGCAGTGTTCTCATAAGCAGAGGTTTTTAAAAATGTGAATGCCCAGTGCTGGGAGTCAGGTGGGGAGGGGCTGGGTAGCCTCCTAGATCCTTGGCAAGAGTGAGGCTACAAAGTGCTAGAGTGCTTTTGGAAAGCAATTTGGAAATTTATGTGTTAAAAATGATCCAATGTCCATTACCTTTGACCCAGTAATGCCGTGATGAATCATCGACTTTGAGGGAATAATAAAGAACGGAGACAATGATTTATGCCTGAAGGTGTTCCTCACCACCTCATTTATAATAATGAAATCTAAGAGTAACTACAATGTCCATCATCTGAGAGATGTCTTCAAATAAATAATGGAAAGCTAAGTGATGAAATATTATACTGTCAGTATAAACTGTTTGAGAGTTTTTAATAACAGGAGAAAATGTACATGGGATAATGTGAAGTAAAAAAAAAAGCAGGTTATGTTACTGAATATAAAAAATAACTGCAAGGCTCTTTTTAAACAAGCGTGACGCTGCCACAATATTGCCACAGTTACCTTTGAGTGGTAAATTGTGGAAGACTTCTGTTGTCCTCCTCTTTTCTTCCATATAGATGACTGCTTTATGAGCACAGCACAGTCGGGAAGGACTGTTTACGAAATTTGAAATACCTGCTGGAAGGAGCATCCTTTGACCTGCAGTTTGCATGGTGCTTTAGAGAAAGGCAGCACACGTTGCCCTGGGATCCTGTGCCGCTGGGTGCGGGAATGGTGTCTGGGGAGAGAGACGCCACCTGGAGCAGCTCTGAGCAAGGGACTTTGATGACAGGTTTTGTCCTAGGACCAGCCAGTTGCTGAGAAGGTTCCAGAAAGTACATGCCCTCATCCCTTAGCTTTGTGTCCTTGAGCCAAGCCGCCTGTCACCTTCTCTCCTTTCCACGGAGAACTCAGTCTCAGCTCAGGGGACTGCTACGATTGCACCAGTGCTGCCAAGAAGGAGGCCAATTAGTACAAAGTAAATTTTTCTCCCCCAGGGAAAATGGACGGAGGCCACCAGAGCACTTCTCTGATGGCAGAAAACACGAGTTTCCTGTGTCCTGGGCCAACCAGCCACAACCAGAGATGAAAGAGACCAGAGAACGTCCCACAGCCTCCTGGGCCAGAGAGGACCGGGCAAGTAGACCTCAGCATTTATTTATGGAGCTAATTTTGTGTGTATTGCTCCTATTTCCGTCTGTAGATAAAAAGCAGAGATAATCAGCTTGGCTCAGAACATGGATACTCTGGGAGCCCCACCCGCGGACCACTTTAAAGCAGAAGGATCCCACAGGGAACGGTTCTGAATTGGGGCCGAGGAATTCCACTCCACCACAAGCTACACAAACCCCCTCTTCCCGCTGTGTCTTCCTCCAGCCGATTTGTGGAGGGGATATTTATAGGATTTCCACCATTTATGGAAGGCATTTTTGAAAGGAAAAATCAGGCGGGGGCTTTTTCCTAGTAAAAGCTTATGGTCGTCATCATTTGCTCTCATTAGCCCCAAATCCTCTTCGCTGCAGTGTCAAAGCCCTCCTCCATTCTTTGCTTCACCACATTTTTATTCACTAACTCCTTCCCTAAGTTCCGCCGTCCCAGAGGCAATTTGTAATTAATAATGAAAACCCCACCTCCCAAGCTGTACTGGAGAGGGGAGCATCTCACTAGCACGCATCTCTCCAGCAAATAGTGTTTCTTGGGCAGTGTTCTTAAGACTTCATCAAGTGTATCCCTACACAGAACAGACAGGCTGCCAGGTCACATCTGGGGACAATTGGGGGTTTGGAAATGTATCATATTTTTTCTCATGAAGTTTTCTCACCTGTCTTTGGAGCTGCCATCATTAACATTAGGGCAAAAATTAAAATAAAAAATAATACATGGTAAAACCAGTGGAGTAGTAGCTGATAAAACAAGCACAGTAACTAAAAAGAAAGTAATTTTGAGCTGATTGAAGAGAGAATAGTTTATTCCCCCTCCCAGAAATAACTGCTACCTCTTCAAACCTGACATTAAAATACCAGAGAGAAACAGATTACCTACTATGTTTTGAAATTTAAAGTTAACTTTATTATTTTAAGAATTTTAGAACAGTGTTTTTTCTTCTCATAACAATCAGATATCAGCTTCCTCTAAAAGTTTTTGAAAGTCTCCTCACACTAATTGTACTGCCTTTTTCAATTAAAAATACTTCAAGGAATGTGAAATGATTAGTCAATTCAAACATTCTCTATTCAGTGCTACGATGAAGGCTTTAAGTATTGACGAAAACATGCCCCATGTAGGACAACCAAATCATCTTTCAGGCGTTGGATCAGGACCAATAACTTGAGAAATAAATATGTTGATTCTTCCACAAATCTTAAAGTCTGATCTGTGTTATCTTTGTTGCAATTATAAAAATAAAATAAAAAGTGCTTCAAATATATACTAGCCTTGCTATTTGAAACAGACGAGAAAAAACAGGGCTTCAAATATATGGTATTCTTGCTATTTGAAACGGAAATCTGAAAGAATGAAGAAGGATGGCAAACAAGTAAAGATTTAATTTCGGTTTTCAGAGACAAATCTGTTATTCTAGGTGATTAAAAAAGGCAACCAGGCCTTGTATTGGTGCATTTTCATCCCCAAGTCAAATAAACCACGTCTGCAAGGCAGGTCTTCTGTCTTTCACTCTTGTCCAATTTACCTTCCAAAATGCAGGTGGGTGTCTAGGACACTCTCTGTAGTACCTGTGACTCTGAGCAGCTGATGACCCTTTTGTGGTGGCGATTGTTATCAACAGAATCTTATCTAAGAAAAGCTGAAGGAACTAGAAGAAACTGCTATTTGAAAATTTGGCTGCAGACCTTTTGTAACAGGGAGTCCTCTCCATGGAACACAGTCCACCTCAGGTTCTCCATTTGTCTAGTGGAGGAGGAAGAACTATCTGGAAGCACCTGCTACCTGTCCTGGAGTCACAGGTGCTCCGGGGGGCATGGCCATGTCTAAGCCCGCCCCTGTAGATGTGAGATCCTGCGTCCCTCGGAGCTCAGCGTTGACTCTTTGAACAGACACACACCCAGAGATCTGTGACCCATGGGCATCCCTGAAGTGCCCTGGCATGGTCAGGGGAGCCGCTGAGAAGTCAGCAGAGTGGCGGGACGGGGTGGCTCTTGGGATCAACCGCATCTGACATCTTAACCTGCCCAGGGCGGCAGCCGTTCTGAAGCCGGGCACATGGGCACCAACATGACAGAAAGACCACCCCTGAAACTCCAATTTTCTTTTCTTTATTCCTTTCTTTTTCTTTCCTTCTTTTTTTTTTTTTTTTGGAGATGGAGTTTTGCTGTCTCCTAGGCTGGAGTGCAGTGGCTTGATCTCGGCTCACTGCAACCTCCATCTCCCGGGTTCAAGCAATTCTCCTGCCTCAGCCTCCCTAGTAGCTGGGATTACAGGCAGGCACCACCATGCCTGGCTAATTTTTTTTTTTGTATTTTTAGTGGAGACGGGGTTTTGCCGTGTTGCTGAGATGCCAGTTTTTACAGGTTTCAACACGATGGCCGTTCTGGAGTTATCACTTTGGTGGCATGTACAACACCTCCATCCCACTGCCACGCACCCATAAAAATTCCACAAAATCACTCTAAGTCCACTGCACTGAGATTACTGATGGAGGAGCAAGTGCCTGCTGTGTAAGGTGAGGGGTGATGCCCACTGGGGTGGGTGCCCACATGAATCTCTTGGCCAAGGTATAGAGTTGACCGCCACTCAGAAGTCAAGTGAATGAGCAGAGGTCAGCGAGGCTGCCAATCAGCCAGAGAGTTTGGGCCATTCCCCTGAGATTTTATACGTAAATTAATGCTCCAGAGTTCACTGACACCAATGAATTTGGGGTGTGGGGGGGTTTGGTTGCACACGGAGATACTGTTGGGAGTGGTAGGGGTGGTCATTCCCTGGCTCCTCTCTTCTTCCCACCCTCCAAACTCCAGCCGCTGACTGGAGTGGACAGAGTGGCTCCCCAAGTTCTCACAACAGGCAGAGGCAGTGCAGGAACCGGGCTCAGGGCAAAGGAGAGTGACTGGGGTGCCTCACCCTGACTTCCTCTTGATCGCTTGGAACAACTTAGCTGAGTCTTTCTTCCACAGTCCCCTTCTTTCCTACATCCTGGGGGTCCTACCTGACACCGAAGGTACTAAGCTCCGGTCACTACTCCAGAGAGCAAGGGAGGAATGTGCATTCTATTGTCGGTGGTTGTAAATAGAGAAAAGATGGTTTATCTATGGTGTTAGCCCCAGTAGCTTGCCATAGGCCACGGCTCATGGCAGGGTGGGGATGATGTGACCTTTTCCGTCATCATGTCACGGCCTGGGTCACAAATGCAGATGGGGAGGCATCCGTGTGGAATGTGTCATTAGTGTCATGGCCTGCTTCTTACAGGGAGAGCTTCCAGCTCAGGCAGAGCAACGAGACCATGCCTCACAGCAAATGCAAACTGCTCATTTTCATAATGGAAGCTGTTACTGTGTCATTGGAAACCTTTTAGTGACATGTGATATACATACACAAGAGTCTACATATAAATGTGTACAAACTAAACACATCCAGGAAGCCAGGCACCAGAATTACCGGCACCAGATAAGTCAGTCCCAGAGGGACTCCTTCCAAAACCAATCACAATTCTAACTTGAAATAACATAGATTAGTGTTGCCATAGATTTGTGTTTGTACTTTATGTAAATTGAATTTTGTCGCATATAGACTTTTGTGGCTGGCTTCATTAGCTAAACATGGTGTTTGTGGGATTTGTCGCAGGTAGGGGTGGAGCACTCTTTTTCGCGGCTGCACAGTGCTCTCTTTGTGGTTATAGCACAGTTTATATGCTGGTGGATATCTGAGTAATTTGGGGATATTACTAATCATGTTCATATAACTGAACTTTTTTGCCATTTAAAAATAAATAAGTATAAATTGCAAATTTTGATTCCCTGTGCAAGAACTGATGGACAAAATGTTTCCACTGAGTTGACATCACTGAAGGTGTTATTTTATTGATGCAAAATGATGACCTATACTTAGTATAATAATCAATTGACTTGGATCATATCTTTATTTTTAATGCCTCTGTGTGTGTGTGTGTGTGTGTGTGTGTGTGTGTGTGTATCTGTGACTTACTGCAACATGTATTTGTTATCTCACAGTTACCATGGGTCAGGAGTCTGGGTCCTCTTGGCTAGCTGCATGCTCATCTGGAGTTTGAAGTCCTGTTCTAAGCTCATTCAAGTTCTTAGGAGAATTTAGTTCCTTGCAGTTCTATAACTGCAGCCCTCAACTCCTAGAGTCCGCCCTTCACTGTGGCAGTTTTGAACCTTGTAAGGTGGCTGCTTCTTCAGCATCAGTAGGAGAATGTCTCTAACCCCTGGTCCATCTTTATGGGGCTCCTCTGATTAGCTGGTACCCACCCAGGATGATTTGCTTTTGACAGGTCCTGCCCACTCTCAGGTGAAGGAGATCGTACAGCTTGAATCCTAGAAGTTGGTACTCAAGAGAGCCACACTGGAATTCTCCTGACCACATCTCTCTATCTCAGGGCAGTCTCTCCAGCAAACCAGTTTCAGACTGACTTTACTCCTGCTTGGTGACTCATGGCTGCAAAGCAGCATGTCCCATGTTTTATTCTTTCCACTCTCTTTCCTTCCTGATGGGCCAAGAGTCTTCTATTTTCTTTCTGTTTAGCAAACTTCCCTGAGGCTTTCTTTTAGGGTAGGCTTGACGGCAAGACATTCTCTTAATTTTCCTTTATTTGAGCACATCTTTATTTTTCTTTCTTTCCTAAAGGATACTTTTGCCAGATATGGAATTCAAGGTTGACAGCTTTTATTTCAGCACTTGGAAAATGTTGTGCCACTTCCTTCTGGCTCCCATAGTTTCTGTTGAGATACCTGCTGTCATTCAAACTGCTTCTCCCCCTGGGGGAAGGTATTGTTTTGCTGTCACCAATTTCAAGATTTTACTTTGTGTTTGGTTTCCTGGAATTTGATTATGCTGTGTTTTGGCATGAGATTCTTTGAGTCCATCCTGTTTAGGATTTGCTCAGCATCTCAAATCTGTAAGTTGATGTCTTTTGCCAAACTTGGGAAATTTTCAGCCATTATTTATTTGAATACTTTTTCAGGATCTTCCTCTTTATTCTCTCCTTCTAAGACTTAGAGGACATGAGAATTAGATCTTTTGTTATAGTCCCACAAGTCCCCAAGGCTCTGTTTCTTTTTTTAGTCTATTTTCTCTCTATTGTCCAGATTGGTTAATTTCTGTTGTTCTCTCAAGTTCATCCATTCTTTCTTCTGTACTCTCCATTGAGTTTTTAATTTGAGTATTTCAGTTGTATTTTTAAAGCATTAATTGATCAGATCATATCCTTATTTTAAATAGACTACACGTGCCTTTTAAACTGCTGTATTCCTTGTCATATCCTTCTAGCCCCTATCACAAACTCTACCTAATTCAGAAACACTTTTGGTGAACACCGTGTACTTTTAAAGCTATGAAATCAGGGCTGGGCATGGTGGCTAAGGCCTGTAGTCCCAACACTTTGGGAGCCCAAGGTGGGTGGGCAGATCCCTTGAGGCCAGGAGTTCAAGACAAACCTGGCCAACATGGTGAAACCCCATCTCTACCAAAAATATAAAAATTAGCCAAACGTGGTGATGCACACCTGCAATCCCAGCTACTCAGGAGGCTGAGCAGGAGAATCACTAAAACCTGGGAGGTGCAGGTTGCAGTGAGCTGAGATCCCACCACTGCACCCCAGCCTGGGTGACAGAGCAAGATTCTGCATCAAAAAAAAAAAAAAAAAAAAGAAAGAAAAAAAGAAAAAAAAAAAGGCTATGAAATCAGCCTCCAGGAATAATGTCAGTTCAGAACAGGTAGGTTCTGCTCTGAACAGATGAGTCCCCAGTGTTCAAAGAGCTTACCCAATTTGTGACTGTCTTCCTGTGGCAGGGCTTGGTGCCTGCATGGTGATCACATCAGACATGAGTCCTTCTTCCCTATTTCTAAGATTATTCCTAATTTAAAAATCCTAAAAGTACTTCCTGGAGTCCTGGGAAAACCTCCTTTTGGGACCTGGGTGCCTCCTCCCAAATAAATCATGTGTTATGAGACAAGCCTTTTTTAGTTGCCACACTCTGCTACATTAGTTGAAGCCTGAGGGTCTTAAAGATAAAAATGGCCAATTCATCTTGATTTTAATGCAAGGAACTTGAATTCAGGCTCAGTCACCTAAGTTTGAAATGCAAGAGTGTGACTGAACTTTAGCTGTGTGTCGTTAAAGGGTCTGTGTGTCATTTGTGTCTGGGACCAATCCAGAAGGCCCAATTGCTCTGACTAGGACACCACACCCCAACTTTTGGGACCCTAAGTCTGGCATACCTGTCGTCTGCTCTCTGGGACAGCTGAGGAGATGTCTGGACTAAGCCCCACTGATGGTGGATGTGCTGGTCCTTTCCATCCAGGTCACCAGCGCAGGTGGTCAGAAAAGTCCTCCCAACCTTGCTTCTGTTAGAAAGCCCTGGCCATCACTCGTGATGGCAACAGGTTGCCACCCCACCTCTTCTGTCTTCCCGCTCCTCCCTCTCCCCTAGTGGGTCTTTAGAGACTAGAAGGTGACACAGGGCTTTCTTTGTCTTGGTCATCTGTGTTCTCTGTGTCAGGGCCTATATTAATTTTCCTAGCTGCCATGACTAAGTGCCACAAACTTGGTGGCTTCCCACAAAAGAAGGTTATTCTCTCACAGTTCTGGAGGCTGGAAATCAAGAATCCAGGTGTTGACGGGGTTATGCGTCCTCTGAAGGCCCTGGGGGAGAATCCATCCTTGCCTCTTCCTTCTTCTGGTGGCTGAAGGCGTTCCTGGTCTTGCTGGGTGCATATCTCCACCTCATTTTCATACGGCCTTCTCTTCTCTCTGGGTCTCTCCTCTTCTGTCCCTTGCAAGGACACTTGACATTGGATTTAGGGCCTCTCGGAATAATCGAGGATGGTCTCATCTTGAGATCTTTTACTTAATTACATCTGCAAAGACCCTTTTTCCAAATATGATAATTCATAGGTTCTGGGCATTAAGACGTGGACGTGTCTTTTGTGGGGGCCACCATTCAATGCGTGAAGGGCCCGGTTGTTCAGAAGGGCAGGAGCCTGCTTCAATTCCACCTTTGGAACCAAAGGTCAGTTCTTAGTAAGCTCCTCTAGGACTTCCCCCTCATCTCTGGAATTTCATGCTCATGGTTTAGCTCGTTCCAGTCCCATCTCAGAACAATCCTGAAGATCCATGTGCAGAAACAATGGCCCAGTTCATTCTGACACCACCCCCATGTAGCAGGAAGTTTTGACCTATCCACAACTGATTTGAAACACTCCAGTGATAAAGACATTGTTTTCTTTCAAGCCATCTGGAAGTCAGAGCAAGGAAGTTCTCCAGTTAACTTTGCCACATCTGGGTGCTAGTGATTCATGGAGAAGCAGCCTCGTTCTGGTTTTCATTTCAAGTGATGTTTACAAGGAATTTAAGCAGTCGCCTCTTGAAGGGTCTTTCAATCTATGGCCACTGCTTCTTGCAGAGCCCACTTCTCCATCTAAAAGCAGAATAACGTTTTCCACAACCCTATTTTAGGAAACGTTGGAAGGATTAACAAAATCCTATTTGCAAATCAATTTCAGATCTAGTGGTCTGCAAGTATAAGATGTTGTTATTTTATTTGCTAATTAAAACCATCTCCTTAAAATTTTGCTTTCCTCCCTCATTTGAATAACAAAGAGAAACAGAGATAGAACCACTTCTGTTGAATCTTCTCAATTATTTTTGAATACGGGGTGGAGAGAAAACAGGAGACATCATGAACATGACGCACAGACACTGAGGAAACCATCGATGTGCTGCTGGCAGATGGTCAAAGCCCAGCGAGCAAATGTGTTTCTATTTCTGCTCTCAATTAAGTCTCAGCTCTCAAACCTCAAGTTCAGAGTTGGACCTGGTGTTCACTTTTTCTCCTTCATGACAAAATTGAATCAGTGTGATCCTGGTCTACATTTATTTGTTAATATACCTTCTTCCTTCTCGTCATCCTCAGCTTCAACTTTCTTTCTTTTTTTTTTTTTTTTTTTTTTTTTTTGAGACGGAGTCTCGCTCTGTCGCCCAGGCTAGAGTGCAGTGGCGGGATCTCGGCTCACTGCAAGCTCCGCCTCCCGGGTTCACGCCATTCTCCTGCCTCAGCCTCCCAAGTAGCTGGGACTACAGGCGCCCACCACTACGCCCGGCTAATTTTTTGTATTTTTAGTAGAGACGGGGTTTCACCGTTTTAGCCGGGATGGTCTCGATCTCCTGACCTCGTGATCCACCCGCCTCGGCCTCCCAAAGTGCTGGGATTACAGGCGTGAACCACCGCGCCCGGCCTAGCTTCAACTTTCAACTCAGAAAATGCTGATTACATTAGAACATCCAGGGTCAAAGAGAAAGGGAAACAGATGGACACATAGTGGGTTAATATTAAGTGATTATGAGGATTACTCCAAATTCTTAAATGGTCTTGACAATACAATTTTTAAAACATTTTAAATTCAAACAGTGCAATTTGTGACTCCGTATTGCCAAACAAGCCAATGAATATATTTCTTCTACTTCTTGTTTCTGCCCTTTGGCCTTTTAGACCTCAGTGTTGTCTTCTGACATGATCTTAGCCACATCCATCTGAGGGAAGACAGAAAATCCCACAGATCTGACAGTGATTGCAATTTCTCTGATCTGACAGACACATATTATACATCTCCTGCATGAGAAATCCCCTTTCCAGAGGCCAGGGACAGCCCTGGTTGGAGGATTCTGGTTCATAGCTCCTTTGTTGATTTGTTTGCGTGTGAAACTCTGAATAAGAAACCTCCAGAAGGAGACAGTTCTCTGGAGTTGCAGTGGTGGGCTTTGGATGAGGTTTCCCAGTTCTTCAGGTTCTTTGCATTTTAGAAAGGGCAAGTGGGGTAAGTGGGGAGAGTCTGGCGGTGTCTGGAGATCAGGGGGCCCGGGCAGCGCAAGTCTGTCTGCCCCGCTGATCTCACCCCTCCAAGGGCAGCAGGAAGCCACCTTGCCCACTTGCATCCTGTCCACGAGTGATACGGGTGGGGCTGATCCCACCTAGGTGTCCATGGTCCACCTTGGTTCCAGCAAGCCTGGCTTACGTCATGCATCCCTCTCTGACTCCTTCCTCTTTCAGCCTCACAGCCAGTTTGTCACCAGGTCCCTCTGAGGACAGGAAACATCAGTGCCGTTTCTTGCGTTGCAAGGAGCCAGCTGTGCTGGACCCATTACTGTCACCTTCCCACGAAGCCCTCAAGACACCGCTGCATGGTCACATGGTGACTGTCATATCCACATTGTAAAGATGAGAAACCTGGAGCTCACAGGCCATTTGTGCTGGTGGCTGGGCAGGGGCCAGGTTTGGAGCCAGCCTTCCTGCTGCTTTCCCCTTCCCCACTCACCCTTTCCTCTCCTGCCCCTGCCTCCTGCTCCCATCCAGACTCTGATGCTCTCTATCTTCCCAGGCTATTGTGGCACCTTCCAGGCTGATGGCCCTATTTCCAGCGTCACCTACCCTAAATCCTCCATCATTGCCAAAAGCAATTTTCCCTTGAAATCTTTAAACCATCAACCTCCAAAGCCTTGGCCAGGCCTTCCTCTCCCTCTATTCTGACCCCTTCCTCCTGCTGTTCTCCTCCTTCCAGCTCCCTTTCTATAGAGGGAGATCACTCTCCTCCTCACTCCTAGGACAACTCCCCTGCTCCTTCCGTCATGTGCCTGTCCCACTCTGGGAAACCACAGCCTGCCCCTGTTCCCAAGGACTTTGCAGTGCCTTCCCCTGCCCACACCCTGCCCACTTGGAAGCCAGGTATGACCACCTTCCACGGAGTCTTCCCTGAGCGCTTTGGACACAGGGAGCTCCCTGCATCCCTTGTCTGTATCTCCAGGGCCCTGGAGGCCTCCACAGTGGTGCTCTGTCTTTTGTCTCCAACCGGACAGAGCACTCGCTGAGGTCAGGACATGCATCCTCCTCCTCAGTTTCCCTACAGTGACTTTTTGGCTCTTTTTTGATGAATTAAACCCTTCTGTCACAACTCTACCATCAAAGCCCTTAGCAGCTTCACCCAGCCCTGCTTTCCTTCCTGGGACCTCTCTGATGTTCAGGAACCCACGGGCTGGCTCCCAGGCTCTCATCTCTCTTTCTAACTTGCCCAGTGATTCTCAACTGTGCTTCCAGAGCCATCTGTATTTTCTGGGTTCCACTGAGCAGGAGGAGGGGCTGAAGCTGATGGGGGTCTGAGCCTCTACCTTCCACAACCCACCCACAGCCAGAGCAGGAAGCCTTGTCCACTCTGTAGACTAAGCAGCTGGTACCTTTATGGGTAGACTTCCTGGTTCAAATCCCGGCTCTGCCTCTTCCTCTCTACGTGGTCCTTGGGTGACCTATGCAGCCACTCTGCTGCCTCCTTTTCCTCATCTGTGAACTGGAGAGGATATCAGCCCTCCCTTAAAGGTTGCTGTGAGGATGGGAGGTATCAGAGCATGCACTGAAGCTTCGCTGGGTGAACGAACCGGTGGAGGGTGGCCTCGGCTTCTTCCGTTGCTCCAACCCATGGAGCTCCAATGTCTTGGAGATTACAGCATGCCTTTGGTAAGAGTTTTCAGCCAGCTGCAGGCCAAGCCAGTGCCATTTCCTCCTCTATGGGGCTCTGGTGGCAAGTCCACCACCCTGTGGGAATCTCTCAACCTCTCCCACTAGGGCATTTAGCGGTTGGAGAAGACTTATGACAGCAGAGTGAGTGATGACTGAGTGCTCACTGTGTTTCCAGGGCTGTGTGGAGCCAGCCATGGGCAGCCCTCACATGCCTGGGCTGTTCCGGAGCCCACGCTCTCCATCTCTGACAATGCTAAGGGTCATTGACACAGTGCTGGAGTGGGAGTGCTTTCCTCCTGGTGGATCTCTCTGGCCTCTGCTCAGCCCTTCTGAACCACCATCATCTCCAAGTAGACATAGGCTTCCAGCCAAGAAGGCAAACCAGAGTGCTCCCACATGCCCTGGACACCAGGGCTGGCTGAGAACCTGATGACAGGAAGCTGGGATAAAGCTGGAAATATAAACGTGCAATGGGGTGAACAAAAGTACTACCCAACAGTGGATCTTTTTTTTTTTTTTTTTTGGAATTTAAAGAACAAGATTCAGACTTTGGGTAAAACTCATTGCTGACGTAAGCCAAGCACAGTGAGAAGGGTGATTTGATCCCACTTGGGACTTAACTGACAAATTGCATTGTTGAAGCAGTGATTTGTCAGAGAACAGCTCCAAGGGCTTGGAGTGTGGATACCAACTCAAGCAGAGGCTGCATGGAACAATCCCTCCCATTCAGGGGGAGCGAATCTAGGACCTCTGGGTTTAATCCTGTCTCTTTCGTTTGCTTATTTGTTTGTTTCTTTGATGTATTATTCTATTTTCTCAGAGATTTTCTTGATTTTTATCTCCCAAATATTCTGTTGAAAACTTTTTTTTAGCAATCACATGTTGTTGTTTCATAAAAAAGAAATTGTCCAAGGGCTTACTTTTATTTTCTGTTCCCTTTTCATATCATCTTATTCTTGTTTCAAAGATGAACTTGTCTTCTCACTGAAGATAAACATTATTTACTAGGATATTTTTGTTCCTAAATTATTTCCATTTCTTTTCTAGTCTATTCTGAACAGTTCACCCTCAGGCTGGCATTTGGTGCCCTTTTTTTTCTTCTCTACCCCTTGCCTTGATCATCTTCCAGGTTAAGAAAAAAAATTTACATTTAAAATCTGGGTCTCTGTAATTTTTGTATTCCAAATATAACTTAACCTAGAAAAAAATTTACTGGTTTATATCATAGTTAACTGACTTACTTCCATTATACATGTAGGCAATCTAGGCTTCAACAGTAAACTGAATTGGGTTATAGAAGGTAGGTATTTAAATGGCTAATTTGGGATTGATTATACTGACTACAATTCATGCTGTGACATGGTCCTGTTCATTTTAACAAGAATTTCATGGAACAGACATTACCAAAGTGTACCCATGTCCCAGCTGCCCTTGATTCACAGTGAGCCCACCTTGGTCCCTCTGGTCAGATCTGCTTGGGGTCAGCGTTTCTCCCACAGAGCTTGGGAAATGCTGTGACACTGGGCACCCTGTCCTTACACTGCAGCAAGTCTACCATGTTCAAGGCATGAGAACTCTGGGTAACATGACTTGCCAGGAGAAACTGTGACCCCCAGAAAGCAGCAGAGGACAGAAACTCTGCTGATTATATATATAAAAAATATGTCATGCTTCTGAGTGTGGTTTGGGGAAGGGATGGCATGAAGAGATACTAGGCAGCATGCCCATCTTGGAGTCCCAACACTCTTACTTCCAGGAATCCAGTATTCCTACCAACCAAAACATCGTGTTAGTAACCAAGGCTCCCACAAAAAGCAGGCTCATCAAGAGCTTTAAAAAGGAAGGCAGGAAGTGACAGGAGCTCTGCTTCCATCCTCATCTGCTACCCACCTCTCTCACTCGCTCTTCAAAGCAGACTTTGAAGAGAACTTTTTAAAAAACCATCTTTATTTGCCCAAAATGGAAAGAGTGATCTCATTAGACCCAGGGCTGTGATTTCACTTTAGGTTCAGTGGGAAGGATCAGCGAGCTCCTTGGTAACAAAGCCCATGAAACACACACATGTTCACTATGGCAAGTGGACGTTGGCAGGACCTCTGTCATTCAACGCTACATAAACACTCGGTTCCACACTGCAGACTTCTAAAAAAGAATGTACATTTGACTCCATTTCAAGTTGAAGAGAGTTTAATGAGCATCCACGTGTGGTGAGCGTGTTGACCTCTTCTTGGGGTGTGAAAATATGTATGCGTAGCACATGTGTGCACGTGCGTGTGACGGCGTCCCCCTTCATGGAGCAGCCAGTCTTGCTGCGGAGACAAGATCACCTCACATCTGATCATCAGCAGTAATCCCAATGACCTTAATAAAAACAGCAGTTCCCATTTATTGGGCACTTACTGTGTACCGCGTTCTGAGCAAGGAGCATTCCAGGGCTCGCACGGTGACTGGCACAGAGGACACTCAGTCAATAAATGTTAGTTTCTGTTACATCAGATTTTGCTGTGTTCAGTGTTCCTGGAAGGAGACAGCTCTGATTTGACCAGTGACTGAAACAGCCTAAAATATCGAGGCAGGCTCCGCACTGTCCTCTCGGACAGGTCTCATCACCATGGACATTTCAACTCACCAGGGTGGAAACAGCCTAGGATCACTCCAAAGCCAACCTCTGCATCCTGCTCTGTTCCTGCAAGATTCCCACTCCAGCCCGCATCTGCCAGTCTGTCTGATGATACCTTTGCAGCTTTACAGGTAGCACGCAGCCTCTACACCGTGATAAAGAACACACTGACCACATGCACTTTCCTCTTCCTGGAGGCCTGCAGGGTGTGAAATTCACTGTCAGTCACAGAGACCCTTCAGATCTGGGCAAGACCAGTCTCTCTGGAACCGAGGCCCTGAGTGAGGCAGGTTTTTACACCCAGTTGGTTTCCATTATTATTCTAATTGAATTGCCAGCTTCTCTTGAAGTTAGCAAGGTTTGTTCCTTCATGCTTCTTAATTTTACACATCGGATAGCAGCTCTGAATGTCAAAGCTAGAACAATTCAACGTGATTTTTAAATGAACAATAAGCCAGTTAGATTCCTCTGTGGCAAGCATGTCACAGCTTCTTTAACCCCAGGTCCTAAAAGATCCTGCTAATGGTTTTCTACATTATTACACTAATGTGCCTGGGGGCTGGTCTACTGGGAAACGGATCTGTAATAAATATGTCAACAGCAGTGAAGGACAAGAAGCTGGGTCCTCTGCCCCCAGGCCCAGTGGGGCTGTGGCACAACACAGCTCCAGGGCACCCTGTGCCAGCCCTGTTGCATCTTTCTGGGGTGGGTTTTGATGGAGAAAGAAGAATTATTGATCTTAATGAGGCTTCCCTGCACATTCGTCAAAACTGTTGTCGCATTTGGTCAGAGGCCTCACATGGGGCCCTGGTTAGGGCGAACTTTAGAAGGAAAATTAAGCAATTAAGCAAATCCAATTGCCTGGAGGCACAAGGGCTCCACAGACCACACTTCAGCCGGAAAGCAAGAGCACTAATGGGGCTGTGAAGCCTGAAGCTGTGACACCATCACTTTGGACTCACCCTGGGTGATGGGTCCAGAGGGAGCAGTGTCAGTTTCCTGGTACTGCTGTCACAAATCACCTCGAGCTTAGTGGCTTAAAACAACACAAATCTATGATCTTCTGGTTCTCGAGGAGGAAGTCTGAAATGAGTCTTATGGAGCCAAGGGGGTATCTGCAGGAATGTGCTCTTCTGGAGGCAAACCCGTTGCCTTGCCCCTTTCAGCTTCTGGAGGTTTTCTATCTGTCTTCCTTGATGTGATCACATTGTGACACTCAACCTCTGCTTCTGTCCTATTTCCAGTCTCTCTGATCCTGATCCTCCTGCCTCTGAATTATAAGGACCTTTGTGATGACATTGGGCCCATCCAGATAACTGAAGACAATTTCACTGTCTCAGGACTCTTAAGCTGGAAGTCTCAGCCAGAGCAATCAGGCAGGAGAAGGAAATAAGAGTCATCCAAACAGGAAATGAAGTCAAGCTATATCTCTTCACCAACGATGTGACTCTATACCTAGAAAACCCTCATGACTCCACCAAAAGGCTCCTGGAACTGACAAACAACTTCAGTAAAGTTCCAGGATACAAAATCAATGTTCGAAAGTTAGTAGCATTTCTATACACCAATAATGTTCAAGCTGAGAGCCAGTTCAAGAAGGCAATCCCATTACAATGTCACACACACACGAATACCTAGGAATACATCTGACCAAAAAGGTGAAACATTTCTACGAGGAGAACTAAAAAACACTGCTGAAAGAAATCATAGATAGCACAAACAAATGGAAAAACTTTCCATGCTCATGGATTGGAAGAATCAGTATCATTAAAATGGCCATATTACCCAAAGAAATCTGCAGATTCAATGCTATTCCTATCAAACCACCAACAGCATTTTTCACCGAATTAGAAAAAAAATTCTAAAATTCATACAGAACCAAAAAAGAGCCTGAATAGCCAAAACAATTCTAAGCAAAAAGAACAAAGCTGGAGGCATCACATTACCCAACTTCAAACTATGCTGTAAGGCTATAATAACCAAAACAGCATTGTACTGGTGCAAAAACAGACACTTGGACAAATGGAACGGAATAGAGAACGCACAAGTAAAGCCATACTTCTACAACCATCTGATCTTTGACAAAGTTAAAAAAAAAATAAGCAATAGGGAAAGGACTCTCTATTCAATAAATGGTGCTGGGATTACTGACTAGCCATATGCAGATGAATGAAACTGGACTTCTACCTTTCGCCATACACACAAATTAACACAAGAATTAAAGATTTAATTATAAGACCCCAAACTATATGCATCCTAGAAGAAAACCTAGGAAACACCATTCTGAACATCATCCTTGGGAAAGAATTTATGACTAAGTCCTTAAAAGCAATTACAACACAAATTGACAAGTGGGACCTGTTCAAACTAAGGAGCGTCTGCATAGCAAAAGAAACTATCAACAGAGTAAACAGAACAGCCTACAGAATAGGAGAAAATACTCTCAAACTATACATTTTACAAAGGTCTAATATCCCGAATCTAGTAGGAACTTAAATAATTGGACAAGCCAAAAACAACCCCATTAAAAATTGAGCAAAAGATACGAGCAGACACTTCTCAAAAGAGGACATACTAGCAACCAACAGACATATGAAAAAATGCTCAACATCACTAATCAACAGAGAAATGCAAATCAAAACCACAGTGAGATACCATCTCACACCTGTCAGAATGGTTATTATTAAAAAGTCAAAAACTAACAGATGCAGGTGAAGCTGTAGAGAAAAGGGAATGCTTATACACTGTAGGTGAGAATGTGAATTAGTTCAGCCACTGTGGAAAGCAGTTTGGAGATTTCTCAAAGAACTTGAAACATAACCATCATTTGACCCAGCAATCCTATTACTGGGTATATACCTGAAGGAAAATAAACTATTCTACCAAAAAGATGCATGCACACATATGTTCATTGCAGCACTATTCACAATAGCAAAGACATGAAGTCAACCTAGATGTCCATCACAGTGGACTGGATAAAGAAAATGTGGTACCTATACACTGTGGAATACTATACAGCCATAAAAAAGAATGAGATCATGTCCTTGACAGCAACATGCATGTAGCTGTCAGCCATCATCCTAAGTGAATAATTGGAAGACAGGAGGGTCTGTATCAGTGAAATTGGAACACAAGACCAAATACCACATATTCTCACTTATAAGTGGGAGTTAAACATTGGGGCTCATGGACATAAAGATGGCAACAATAGACACTAGGGGCTACTGGCGGAGGGAGGGAGAGAGGAAGGAGAACAGGGGTTGAAAAACTAACTTTTGGGTACTAAGCTCAGTACCTGGGTGATGGGATCTTTAGTACCCCAAACCTCAGCATCAAGCAACATACCCATATAACAAACCTGCACGTGTATCCCCTGAATCTAAAATAAAAGTTCAAATGATTTTTTTCATGAAAAAAGTAAAAAAATAAATAAATAAATAACAAAAAAACTCTTAATCACATCTGGAAAGTCCCTTTTGTTATGGAGGGTCACATATTTACAGGCTCTGGGGATTAGAATGTGGGCATCTTGGGGGCCATTATTCTGCCTCCATAGGAACATCGTCCTGAATCAGAAGACAGAAGTGCTCCTTGTGGGAGAGGAATTGCAGGAAGTGAAGCTCTGTGTTAGTCACAGGGCTCTCCCTGGGCTCTCTTGGGGAGAGGGGACAGGGACATGAAAAGCACAGCCTGTGAAACTCAAGGCAGTGTCTGCGAGAATGAGCATGAGAACGATCTCTAACGCCTACATCAGACTTCACTCTTGTGCACTCTTTGTCTTAGTCATTAGGGCCAGCTCACTGGATGTGTGCCGTTTTTCATCCCAATTTATAAAAAAACAAATGAGGTCATGAAACGTTGAGTTACTCACCCAAGATCACAACTCTACATATCTGTCAAGGTGGTGAGGTCTGCAGACAAATCAAGGACAGAATGCCCATCTTTCCCTTTTAAGGTGAATTCAAATATTTTAGAATCTCAGAGAAGCCCCTTCCAAAGAAAGGTGGCATTTTTCATGATCACTTTCCCACATGAAAGACCTCACTGAAGGAGCCAGAGGGTTGAAACCCTCAGATGCCGAAGGAGCCCTTCTTCCTGCGATGCAAAGATCTTTAAGCCACGATTCATGATGCCAACAATCTGTTGCTGACTCTTCTAAGTGTAAATCAACTTGACAATGCACATTCTCTGCCTCATGTGCTCTTCAGACCCAGCCTCTTCACAGGACGCTGCTTCGTGATGTAAGCTCTGGACAATGTGAGCTGTGGAGTGTGATTAATGAGCCACGTGTCAGCAGGAGGATCAGAGATTGTGTGTGTGTGTGCCTTCGTGTGTTGGTGTGTCCTCCCTGAAGTTCAGGGCTCTGGGAGTCCCTTCCCTACCGAGAAAAAGGAGGGGGAAGCACAAACTCCATTGTAAAAAGGATAAAACGTCAAAGGAGAAGTTACTTAGCATGAAATATTTTCACAACCCAAAACGATAAGGAATGTTAGGATGAAGAGAAAAAGGAGTCAAGGACAAGCATGAGCTTCAGGGTGGTGGGCAGTGGTCCCTCCTCCCTCCTCACTTGGGAGGACGTGAACATGCCCTTGGCTCCTGGGTCTGTGCAGAGCTGCCCTTCATCATCAATACCCTTGTCCCCAAACAAGTAGGAACTTCCAGGTAAATCTACAAGTGTGTGGGCCAGCTGTCCTATTCGATGCAGACTCCCGATCTAAATGCTCTGCCTCTCTGGGCTTGGGTTCCATTGTTCACACCGCTAAGCCTGCCCACACCCAGGTCCAGAAGCATCCTGGCCACATACCCAGTGCCAGGGAAGGGCCCTGGAGACTGGAGGAGCTGAGCAGGAGGCTCCCCAGGGCTGCTTCCAAGGGCAGAGTCATGCTAAGGAAAGTGAGGGTCAGTGCTCAGGGACCCGAGCTATCATTGCTCCAGGGGTGAGTCTGGGGCAGAAGAACACAGAAATAGTTCAGGAGGCAAAGCACTGTGCATCAAGGAGCTCTGACAATGCTGGGCAGCTGAGCCCCTAGGGGTAGGGTACCTGTTTATTTTCTAAAAAATGATACTTGAGAGTGAAAGGGGGGTGTGATTCATACCACCTATGAGGGGCTATCCCCATATGGGTGCTGCGGATGGAAGGGAAGGACCCAGGACCCCACTCGGGACTTCTGCCAAATCCCTGCGTGTCACCTACTGCACAGGCCGGGACACCGCTCTGTCCACATGGGTACTGGAGGATGGATGGCGCACTGATAGGATGCACTTTATGGTATCAGATCTTAAGTGGGGAAGAGCTCACACTTGGAAAACCCCAGAAGTCCCACCTTTGTGAATTTACAAATTAGTTCCCTTCAAGACTTAGAAGACTAGAAAAATTATTCTGAGAAAAAGACTCATTGGCTGCAAGTGGGAGTGATAACTGCAAATGTCATGAGTGATCTACAAGACAACCTAATTGCTTCTACTGACCAGAGTCCTGACCTGGTGAGGCAACCATGCCACAGGCTTTCCAAGTGAGGGAGTTCTATTTCTGCTTGGGCTGTAGAACGCTGCCAGAGAACACTGTTCCTACTCTAACCACCAGAAGACGCCACATAGTCTGTAAGATCATAAGTTTTCTTGAGAGCTGAGGGTACAAGGCAAACAGGTGAACTGAACCACAAAGAGTGACAAGCCCACTGAGGAGAGTTGGGACATATGGATTATTTTATGTTTGGCAAAGTGTAAGAAAAGTTAACACAAAAACAAGCAAAAAAGAAATAGTTGAAATCTAATCGTTTATTAAATGCTGAGTATGGATATATTGGGTTGAATGGTGGCCACCCAAAAAGGCATGTCCATGTCCTAACCCATAGTAGTTGTCATTTTATTTGGTAAAAGGGTCTTTGCAGATGTAATTAGGGATCTTGAAATGAGAACATCATCCTGGAGTACTCAAGTGGGTCCTAAATCTTCTGTCAAGTGCTCTTATAAGACATAAAGAGGAGAAGAAAGTCACAGAGGAAAAGGTGACATGAAGACAGGCAGGGATTGGAGTCATGTGGCCACAAGCCAAGGAAGCTGGCAAACCTAGAAGAGGCAAGGAATGAATTCCACACTAGAGCCTCTGTAGTAATAGGGCACTGCTGACACTTTGTTTCTAGACTTCTGCCTTCCAAAACTGTATGAGAATTAAGTTCTGTTGTTTTAAGCCACTAAGTCTGTGGTAATTTACAGCCCCCTTAACAAACCAATACAATGGGCTGGCGTGACAGTGTGGAATTGATGTAGGAGGCAGGACTCTGTATCAGATGAGATTGAAGGCTGGCTGAAAGGGGTAAGAGGCACCAAAAGCACCTGTCCATAAGACATGCCCACCAGCACCATGACAGTCTACCATGGCCATGGCAATGCCTGGAGGATACTGCCCCTTTCCATGGCAAGGACCTGGAAGTTACCACACTTTTCTAGAAATGTCTGAATAATCTTCCCCTTAATTTGTATGTAATTAAAAGTGGCTATAAATGTGACTACAGAACGGCCCTAAGATGCTACTCTGGGCACACTCCCTATGGGGTAGCCCCACTCCACGAGGAGCAGGACCTCTGCTGCTGCTCTATTTTGTGGCTTCAATAAAAGTTGCTGTCCAACACCACCAGCTTGCTCTTGAATTCTTTCCTAGGTGAAGCCAAGAACCCTCCCAGGCTAAGCCCCAATCTTGGTGCTTGCTTGCCCTGCATCAGAATCCCTGGTAATTCTAGACACAAGAGAGCCCGCACTCACTCACTGACTTTTTTCTATGGACCTTTACCAAGTACTTTTGTGAAAGATCACAAAGAGGGAAGGAGACCTGAGAGAGTCTGTATCACTAGACATGAAAGCCTGCCTACATCATGGACCCATGTCCAACATGTAGCAAAAGCCATGCTGGGAAGGGACAGCTCCCAGAAATCAGGCAAAGATGCTCTGTCTTTCACGAAGGGGAGGAAGCAAAAGCCATCTTCTTTACAGGAGGGGCTGGAACCTGACTCAGGCACAGTAAACTGCCCTGATACAAAGCGGAAGTCTACTACTTGTTGCTGAAGGAGGATTAGGAAACTCTCTTCTACCCAAGACCCTCCCAGACACTAACAAACAAGAATTTGGTTGTCATGGGGGAAAGTTAGGGATGCTGCCACAACCCCACCTTTGAGGCCCAGATGCACACCTATGACTGAGGCTGGAGCAAGAGAATTGAGAAATCTCTCCTGACCCTATCCTAAGGCTTGCACCAAGTAACAAGCATAGCAGGCTGTGACTGGAAGAGACTGTAAGTGGAGAAAGCCCTTCTCTGTGGTGCAGATGTACAGGGCACATTGAGAGCTGAAGGTATAGCAGAAATATAGAGGGAAACCCTATAGCATTCCAGACCCAAGTAATCACAGGGAAGCAGCAGACCTCCAAAGAAGAAATTTGAAGTCTACCCACTAAAGGTAACTCTAAGAACAGAAATTATACACCCAACTCAACTACTGAACAGATTGCCTCAACTCCTGTACAAAACACCTATCATCAGAAGACACATGCTCATTTCTAGGCATAAGTACTATTTAGATTAGTCTCTACTTTTATTTTATGTAGAATTTTCCACATTCAATAAAAAATTATGTAATACACAAAAAGGTATAAAAGATGACCCATTGTTAAGAGACAAAGCTATCAGCAAAATCAGACCCTGAGATGATCAAGATGTTGGAAATATCAGACAGGGATTGAAAATTACTGTAATTAATATAATAGAAGATCCAGGATAAGATAGAAAACACGTATGAACACATGAGAAATTTCAGCAAAGAAGTAAATACTATAAAATAATCAAATGGCCGGGCATGGTGGCTCACACCTATAACCCCAGCACTTTGGGAGGCCAAGGCGGGTGGATCACAAGGTCAAGAGATGGAGACCATCCTGGCCAACATGGTGAAACCCTGTCTCAACTAAAAATACAAAAATTAGCTGGGCATGGTGGCATGCTCCTGTAATCCCAGCTACTTGGGAGTCTGAGGCAGGAGAATCACTTAAACCCAGGAGGTGGAGGTTGCACTGAGCTGAGATCATGCCACTGCACTCCAGCCTGGCGACACAGTGAGATTCTGTCTAAAAAAAAAAAAAAAAAAAAGGGGGGGGGGTGGAGTCAAATGAAAATGATAGAGATTAAAAATTATTAAAAATGTATACCATAGCAGTGAAGAATTCCTTTGAGAAGCTTATCAGAAATGTGTAGAGACATTAGAGGAAAAAATGTTATTGAAGTTAACCAGTAGAAATCATCCAAGCTGAAACAAAGAAGAAAAAAGAGCAGAAAAAGAATAACAAAACAGAGCACTCAAGAGCTGTGAGGCAACATCAAACAGTCTACATATATGTCATTGTAGTCCCAAGAAGAGAAGAGAAAGAGAGCAAGATAGTGGGGCAGGAATAAGATTTGTGTGACAGTAGTTAATAATTTACTAAAATTAAGGAAAAATAGCCCAAGAAATCCCTGAAGATCAAAGAAGTTCAGATATATCACACCAAGATATATTTTAGGACAAATAGAAACAAAAGATAAAGATAAGATCTCTTTAAAAAAAACTGAAGAAAAATACACATCACACGCAGAAGATCAAAGATAAAAGCTAGGGAAGATTTCTTATTAGAAATGTTGTAAGCCAACAGACGATGGAGTGGCATCTTTGAAGTACTGAAAGAAAATGTTGCTGTGTACCCAGAATTCCATATAATGTGAAAATATTTTTCAGAAGTGAAAGCAAAACAGACTTTTTAAGATTAACAAATAAGGTGTGTGTTTCCTGCACACCTGCACAACAAAAAATATTAAGGAAAGTTCTTCAGGCAGAAAATGTATGATATCAATGATACCAAATGCCTATCTGGGTCTGTACAAACAAATGAGGAATGCTGGAACTCATAAAAATGAGTAATCATAAAAGATATTGTTTACTTACATTTTAATCTTTTTCAGAGATGATTGTCTAAACTAAAAGTGCAACAATGGTAAAATTCATAACATATGAAGAATCAAAATGCATGACAACAAAAGCACAAAGAATGAGCAGGAAATGGAAGTACACTATTGTGAGGTTCACATACTACATGTGAAAAGGTATAACAGTATTTGAAGATAGGTTGTGATAACTTAAAGATGCATATTGTAAACTCTAAGGCAACAACAGAGGGAGAAGGAAAGAGAGAACACTGTAGAAATAAACCAATTATAAGGTAAAATTGAATACACAACAATATTTAATTAATCCAAAGGAAGACAAGAAAATTGGAAAAAAGGAACAGAGCGCAGAATGAATAAATGATAAACAAGTGGGCCCAGCGCGGTGGCTCACGCTTGTAATCCCAACACTTTGGGAGGCCGAGGCAGGTGGATCACCTGAGGTGGAGAGTTTAAGATCAGCCTGACCAACATGGAGAAACCCCATCTCTACTAAAAATACAAAATTAGCCAGGCATGGTGGCGCATGCCTGTAGTCCCAGCTACTCGGGGGGCTGAGGCAGGAGAATCACTTGAACCTGGGGAGACGGAGGTTGCAGGTGAGCCGAGATCATGCCATTGCACTCCAGCCTGGGCAACGAGAGCGAAACTCAGTCTCAAAAAAAAAAAAAAAAAAAAGAGGCAAACAAGTTATAGATTTAAATTCAACCCTATAAGCAATTACATGCAGAGGCTCCAATTAAAAGGCAGAGATTGTAAAACTGGAAAGAAAACAAGACTCACTGTATGAGTAAAAAAAAACACAAAATACTTTAAGTGTAAAGACTTAAAAAGGTGAAAAGAGAAAAGATAGAAAAATAAATACCATGTAGAGACCAATTAAAAGAAAGCTGAAGTGGCTATAATAATATCAGAAAAACTAAAATTCAGCATAAGAAATATTACAAAGACAAAGAAAGACCTTATAAACCACTTGGTCAATTCATCAAGAAGATATTGCAATCCTAATTGTGTTTGTCCCTACTCCTGAGCTTCCAAATGCGTAAAGCAAAAGCTGAGAGAACTAAAATGATAAATGGACACATCCATAATGATAGTTGGAGAGTCCCATACTCTTCTCTCGGTAATTGACAGAAAAAGTATACAAAATAATCAGGAGGGCAGTAGAAGATTAGAAAACCAGTACCAACCAACTTGACTTAACTGACATTTCTCAGAACACTCCACCATCTTCAGAATACACATCCTTTTCAGGTGTACACAGAATATTCACTAAGATAGAACATGTTCTGAGCCATGAAACAAATCACAACATTAAAAGGACTGAAATCACACAAAGTGTATTTTCTGACCACAATTTAATCAATTCAGGAATGAACAACAGAATGATATCTGGAAACGCCACCAATAGTTGGCCGGTAAGTAGCAAATAATTCTTAGGTGGAAGAAGAAATACAAAATAAATTATAAAATGATTTGAATTATGAAATAAAAGTAAAACATATCAAAATTTGTAGGATGCAGGTAAAGTCGTGCTTAGATGGAAATTCATATCATTAACTGCTTATATTACAAAAGGTAAAAGGTCTGAAACCACTAAGCTTCCACTCTAATAAACCACAAAAGGAGGAGAAAATTAAACCTACAGTAGACAGAAGGAAGCAAATGATAAAGAGCAGAAGTAAAAAAAAATAGAATCATAAAAACAATAAAATATCAATAACCCCTTATCCAGAATGAATAAGAAAAAAGTGAGAAAATACAAAGTACCAATGTTAGAAATAAAGCAGATACTAAAAAAATTAAAGGGATAATAAGAAAATGTTATGAACAACCTTATGACAATAAATTGGATAACTTAGATGAAACAGAACAATTCCTTTAAAAACACAAACTACCAAAATTCACTCATGAAGAAATAAACCACTTGAATAAATCTACATCTTTTAGAGAAATTGAATTTATAGCGATTTGAATGTATTTGGATTCTACAAGGAAAAGCACAGGCCCAGATGGCTTCACAGATACATATTGCCAAACATTTAAAGAAGAAATAATACCAATCACATGCAAGTTTTTCCAGAAAGTAGAAGTGGAAGAAACACTTCCCAAATCAATTTATGAGGCCAGGATTACCCCGATACCCAAATCAAGAAAAGGCATTACAAGAAAAAAAAAATGAACCGACCAAAAAACTAAATTAGACACAAAACCCTTAACAAAATATTAGCAAATGAAATCCAGTAATATATGAAAGTGATAATATGTCATGTTCAAGTAGGGTCTATCCTATGGATGCAAGGTTGGTTCAACATTTGAAAATCAGTGAACATAACTTGCCATATCAACAGGCTAAAAGTGAAAAAAAATGATATGATCAACTTAATTGATGCAGAAAGAATATTTGGCAAAATGCAAAACCAATTCATTATTTAAAAACAACTCTCAGAAAACTAAAAATAGGGGGGAACTTCTTCAACCTGATAAGGAGCATGTATGAAAAGCCTACATCTCACATCATACTTCTTGGCAAAGACTGAATGCTTTCCTGCTGTGATTGGGGAAAAGGTGAGGATTTCTGTTCTCACTGCATTTTTCAATATTGTACTGGAGGCCTATCCACTGAAATAAGTCAAGAAAAAGTAACGGAAGGCACATAGATAAGGAAGAATAAAAACTCTTTATTCATAGGCAACATGATTATCTATGTAGAAAATCCCAAGAATTTACACAGAAGCTCGTAGAACAGTAAATGAGTTTAGCATGGTCACAGGGTACAAAGTCAGTATACAAAGACCAGTTTAATGTCTGTATACTGTCAATGAACAGCTGAAAAAGAAAACATTAAAAGTGCTGTTTAGCGTTGCACCAAACCAAAATACAAACAAACAAATAAAAATAATTGCCTAGGTATAAATCTAATAATACATGTTCAGGATCTGTTACAGTTTTGAAGACTCAATATTATTAAGATCTCAGTTCTCCCCAAGATGATCTGTAGATTTAAGGCAATACCAACCAAGATGCCAGCAGGTATTTTTGGTAGAAATTCAGATTCTAACATTTATATGGAAATGCAAACAACTTAGAATGGACAAAATAATTTTTAAAAAGAAGTACAAAGTTGGAGGATTCCCACTACTTTAAGACTTGCTATAAAACTACAGAAATCTAGACAGTGTTTTATTAATGTAAGAACAGATATATAGTAATGGAAAAGTACAGATAGCTCAGAAATAGTCTCACATGTATATGGTCAATGGATTTTTGAAAAATTTGCAGGAAAATTCAATTGGGAAAGAATATTAATTTCAATAAGTGGTGCTAGAATAATTGAACATTAATATGTAATAGAAATCAACCTCAACTATTAATCTTACACTGTAAACAAAAATTAGCCAGAAATAAATCACATAAATAAAAGAGCTAAAGCAATGAACGTTCTAAAAGAAAATACAGAAAAGGTCTTTTTGATATCTGAGTTAGGCAAAGATTTCTTAGATATGATACAAAAATACAAACCATGAAAGAAAAGGTGATAAATTGGACTCTATCAACATTGAAAACTTCAACTGTTTGAAAGACTGTTAAGAAAATGAAATTAAGATGAAAACTGCGAGAGAAAATACTTTCAAATATACATTAAATAAAGAAATTTAGAATTTATATTAAATTTTTACTTATAATTTATAAAAATTTAGAATTGTATTTAGAATTTACGTAAAATTCTTATTTAGAATTTTAGAATTGTATTTAGAATTTATATAAAATTCTTACCCATTTAATTGTATTTAGAATTTATATAAAATTCTTACCCATTTAATAAGAAGATAAGTGACCAAATTAAAAATGGGCAAAATATTTGAACAGACGTTTCACCAAAGATGACAGACAAATGGCCACTAAGTATATTAAAAGATGGTCAACAAATCTTGAGATTCTTGTAATGCCGAAGAAAAAGACGTGCTCAAAAATGATAGGACATTTGGGAGAGACACAGGTACCAACGTGAAAGTGATCCCAATGGTCAAAGCTGAGGCAGTTAGAGCAACAGCATAAATGGTAGTATTGGATTATACTCCACAGTGTAAAATAAATATCGATTAGTCAATAGTGATATAAATAGCAAATAAATAAATAAATGGGGAAGGGAACTGCTCTTCCTTACAATAGAATTCTAATTAGTAAATGGAGAAGAAATAATGCAAATAGAAAATCACTATTTGGCAAGCACCACAATAAAAGCTGTTGTGGGCAAGAATCACAAATAGATGTTAAAATTATTGAGTAAAAATAGGATGAAAAACAGGATAGTCTCCTGGTCTCAAAGTCCCTTCCCACAAGATTCTTACTAATTTGGAATTAGTAATTTCCACACTAAAGGAAAAGGGGTCACTTTATAATAGAGAAAACTAGCATTCACCTAACCCAGTTATCAAAGTTGCATCAGCAGTAATAATACATTCCACATACATTATATCGCTTCTGTGGTATTCTTACCCAAAATGCATAACCTCAATATGTTCATGAAAGAACATCAGATGAACTCAATTTGAGGGTCATTCTTTAAAATCACTGGCCAGGACTTGTCAAAAGTGCAGAAGTTATGAAAGACAAAGAAAGACTGAGGATCTGTTACAGATTAGAGGAAATTTGACAGTTAAATTCAATGTGGCATCCAGATTAAATCCTGGACCAGAAAAAAAAAGTGTAAAAACAGGAAAATTTGATGAAGTCTATAGATTAGTTCATAGTATTATATCCATGTTAGTTTCCTGGTTTCCACCACTGTACTATGGCTTTGTGAGATTATGGGAGACTGAATGAAGGGCGTATGAGAACTCTCTGAACTATTTTTGCAACTATTATGTGAATCTAAAATTATTTCAGAATCAAAATGACATTTGGTAGAAAAAAAGCCAACATCATTAGTCATTAGAGAAATACAAATTAAAATCACCAAGAGATAACTGTGCACCTACTAGAATGGCTAGAATTAGTAAGACTGATGCTAGCAAGTACTAACGAAGATGCAGAGAAACTGAAGCTGTTTCCTGTCTTTATTGTGGTAAAAAAGATGCGTCTGTCACATTTATGATGTTGCACAACCACTACCACTATATATGAATAGTTCCAGAGTCTTTTCATCAGCACAAATGAAAACCCTGTACCCACTAATACTCACTCCCTATTCCCCTCTGTTTTAACATATACCCAGGATTTGTTTTAATTGGGGGAAATAAGACATGCAGGTATGGAAATGACTGTCATGAAGGGAGGAGTTTTATACTGACAGGTCCGTGGAAACAGGAGGTGCAGTACACCTGGCAGGGTCTTATGGCGAAGCACCAGGATTGATCAGGAGGCAGAAGAGGTGAGAGGAAAGCGTGTGAGAGATCCTTGATCGTGGTTTTCACGGCAGAGGTAGGGCAGGGTGAGCAAGCTGAGCACGTTTAGGATTGAATAGCTGAAACAATTTCAGCAGGCTCTGGGCTATAGTGGTCCCTAGTTGTCAGTATCTGGCTCTGGGGTGATTTAGGGAAGGGTGGGTAGTGTTATGATCTGCAGGAGGCTGATACAATCAGGTGGATGGGGATATTGGTTGGTTTGCAAATCAAGACATGCTCTCAGACAAGTTGTTTGCTATCTCCAGGAATTAGTGAACCCTGGGAGGGGGAGTCCCTCCCTGGGTCTGCAAGGACCCAAGATGTCAAAGCACCGTAAAATACAGAAAATAAAAAACATGATTAACACATGCCCTCCTCCCAACCCCTGGCAACGACTCCTCTGCTGTCTGTCTTTTGGTTTGCCTATTGTGGGCATTTCATAGAAATGGAACCGTATAATATGTCACCCTTTGTTTTTGGCTACTTTCACTTAATGTACTGTTTTCAAGGTCTGTCCATGTTGCAGCATGTGACAGTACTTCATCCCTTTACATGGCATGGCTGAGTAATATTCCATGGTATGGCTGGACCACATCTTGTTACCCATTCATCCATGCATGGGCATGCAGGTGGTGTCTACATCTCAGCAATGGTGAATGATGCTGCTATAAATGTTCATGTACACATTTTTGTTCAAACAGCTGTTTTAATTCTTTTGGTTACATACCCAAAAGTATTAATAGGATTGCTGGCTCATATGGTCATTCTGTATTTCACTTATTGAGGAACTGCCAAATGGTTATTCACAGTAGATTTGCCGTTTTACATTCCTACCAACAGTGGAGGAAGATTCCCATTTCTCCACATCCTTGCCAAAATGTGTCATTTTCCAGTTTTTCTTTTTATGTATTATAGCCATCGGCAGCTGAACTTGTCTACATTGCTGGTGGGAATGCAAAATGGTCTGGCCATTCTGGAAAATAGTTTGGCAGTTTCCTCTAAAGGTAAGTGTACACCCTCACAGGACCCAGCAACCAAGCTCCTAGAAAGATGTGAGATTAAATTGTCTGCAAGAGACCCGAGAGAGGTGAAACACATGTGTACAAAGGCAGCTTGACTAAAAATCATCCTAAACTAGAAACAACCTAAATGATCATCAGCCAATGAATGCATGAGCAATTGTAGTATATACAGACCATAGAATTCTCAGTCACAGAAAGCAGCAGGCTCAAATATGTGCAACGGCATGGATGACCCTCCAGGGCATGAGTCTGAGGGTGAGAAGGTGGACGCGAAAGGCTGTTTTCTGTCTGATTTCATTTTTATGGCAGTCTTTACAAAGCAAAACAGAAACAACTGAGATCAGTGGTTGCCAGTGGCTGGGGAGGGGGAGGCAACTGAGTGCAGAGGGGTTCAAGAGGACTCACTGGAGTGATGAAAATGTTCTTATAGAGATAGTTCCACATATGAATTTTAAACTTGAAATGGATGGATTGTACTGTATGCAAACTATACCTTTTTAAAAATGTTTTTTTTAAAGCTTGCATGCTTTAGATGGATCTGCTTTTCTGCTTTGTATGTGGAGCATGAAAACCAGCTTGCAGGTGGAGGAGATCACGGTGTCTCGAGACACACAAAAGTTGCAGGAGGATGTGCACATGTGGGAAACTGAGTCAGTTTCTCAATGTCAGCAGCAAGGACTCACAAGGCTGTTTGTTTTGTTTTTTTACTAGATGTTGACAGTGCCTTCTCCTTCACCTTCTCTCTCTCTTTCTCCTTGTCCTTCCTTTTTAACGACTTGACCATTTTCCTTAATTTGAGCATAAAGAACATATCTTGTTACTTGAAGATTTCCACAACTTGCAGTTATTGATTATATACCAAAATATTACATGTGAAATCTTCCTGGAAGAAAATACAATATTCCAGAGTCCTTACACAAATAATTTTTAGAGAATGAAAAATTAGTGTCAATATTTTCCTCCTATTACATTTCAAACCTCTTTACTTCTGTGTGTGCATCTGCCAGCCGACCTGAGAGCGCTTCTGCTGAGCTGCTCAGCCGGGAGTCAGTGGAAATCCATGGATTTCAAATGGATGAAGATCACAGGTGACACACCCATCATGTGTGGCCCAGAGAAACAAAGGCCACACTCTCATCCTTTGATACCGGTTCATGAATTTCTCCTCAGGGGGAAAAGTAAGTATCTGTCAAATAATGCAATAAAGTCGTTTCACTTTACTCGAGTTCAGCATCTCTTCCGCGGGTAGGCGTGAGGGCCTTTTTGAAGGAGGAAGGAAAAATCCATCAGGAGTAGAAGAGGAAAAAGAAACTGGAGGAGGAAGCCTGGAGGGAAAGCCTGGAGCAGGCAGGCTTCGGCATCTTGGCACAGAGGGAGGGGAAGCGGCGGCACTCCTGGCCGCCATCTATCCATCTTCCCTGGCAGGAGATGAAGAAATAAAGAAGGGAAATGGAGTCAAGGGAAATCATTAAAAACATTTTAGAAACTGTACAGCCTAGAGAAGTAACATATCACTTCATATCCCTACCTACCTACCTACACACACACACACACACACACACACACACACACTCACTCTCTCTCTCTCTCTCTTTTCTGAACAAGGACACTCCATGTTTCTTTCCTGGTCACTTGGGAGAGGCCTGTAGCCCACTCCAACTCCCCCAGAAAAAAGAAATTTACCATACACCCAGAAGTATTCCCCCCAGAAGCCTGCTTTGATATGTTTTTATATTCCAGATATAATCAGTTTTAACACATGAGTTTAATTCCAAGTTTATTGCTTCATACATGTTAGGTCAAACCTGAGTGTTTATTTAGATAAGTGTTCAGAACTTTTTAAAGTCAAATTTTCAACTCATGAGTTTAAAGTTTTCTGAAGAACATTTTGAAACATAAACATAGTTTTAATTTAAGATCTGCTAAGGCTCAAAAGTGTCATGCGGAAGGGAGGCCATAATTTCTAATTATAAAGTATTGGGGGCGATAAATTCACATGACCTTTGCAGGAAAGTTTATGACCACGCCACCACAGGGCAGGGGCTTTATAAGGGGCCGGGGCATGTGTGGCCACCAAAGGCCCCTGCATGTTATTTAGACAGTGTGAAGAAAATCACACTCCCCGCATCCCCAGGCCTGCTCTTCCGACAGCGCCACTGAGCCACAGAGTGTGATGCGTAGCTTCAGTCCCAAACAGGGATTTCCATTTCTGAAAATAGAACCGGGACACTATCATGCTGAGGGAACCCTAGGGATCATTCACCCCAACCTGTTATCCACAGAGGGGAAACTGAGGCCCACAGTGGCGAAGGAATAACCAAGGTCATCTTCTAACCAATGACAGAAAACGGAATACAGACTTCCCCTGGCCCAGTTCTTTTTCTGATCTTCCCCATAGCCTCGTGCTGTGGCTAGGTTTTGCTCTTTTTGTTCTTCTCCTTCTCCTTCTCCTTCTCCTTCTCCCTCTCCCTGTCCCTCTTCTTCTCCCTCCCCCTCCCTCCTCCTCCTCCTCTTCTTCCCCTTCCACTTCCCCTTCCCCTTCCCCTTCTCCTTCTCCCTCTCCCTCTCCTTCTCCTTCCCCTTCCTCCTCCTCCTCCTCCTCCTCTTCTTCCCCTTCCCCTTCCCCTTCTCCTTCTCCTTCTTTTTTCTTGACAAGGTCTTGTTCTGTCACCCAGGCTGGAGGCAGTGGCGTGATCACGGCTCACTGCAGCCTCGACTTCCTGGGCTCAAGTGATCCTTTTGCCTCAACATCCTAAGTAACTGGAACTACAGGCACACACCACAACACCTGGCCAACTTTTGTATATTTTTTGCAGAGATGGGGTCTTATTATGTCACCAGGCTGGTCTTGTACCCTGGGCTCAAGTGATCACCCACCTCAGTCTCCCAAAGTGCTGGGATTACAGGCATGAGCCACTGCAGCTGGCATTTCTTTTCTTATATGATAAAAAATAAGTGTTTCAATTGCCTGCCTTCCCACTCTCAATTAGCATCTACATGCAGCAAGAGATGGTGGGTCCTAGTGAGCTCCCACGTTAGCCCAAGCCAGTCTCTAAACACTTCACAGTCATGGGAAGAGATGCCAAATTCTGCAGCTCCCACCTCTTGACTCCCCGCTCTCAACTCCCCCTCCGCTGCCTCCTGTCCCATCTGCTGCCTCCTGTCCCCTCCCCACCCACCGCTGTTCCTTGTCTGGCTGGGCACTGGGCTGGCTTCCGTCTTCCAGCTGGATCACTTTTTTCTTTAGAACTCTGGTTCGTTTCCAGTTGCTTCCAGAAGGAAATCCAAACTCCTAACTGGTCCCACAAGACCCTTGGGAGCCTGGTCCCCACCTTCCTCTACGGTGCTGCCAGCACCCCTAGTGGACAAGCCTTGCTTATCTGCCCAGCACCTCTTTCCACTCTCAGGGCACCAACCTGCCCTTCTTATCCCACCCCATCACAGGAGCCCCAGCTGCAGTCAGGCCAGGAGAGCCCCATGCCTAGTGTCTCTGCCAAGCAAGAGAGGAAGGCTGTTTAATGAGCACTGCTGTCCTGGGAAGATGTGACCCTGGAGTATCCCACCTCCTATCATGCACAGGAAGAAGCAAGGCCCACACACAGAGGGAGGCAGAGCTAAAGCATAGAGAGAAAGGAGAGGGATATAGCATCATTGAAACTCCTGGATCCAGCTAAGCCTGAAGCCAGCCCAAGCCTGAACTTCCCAAGTAGTGAGCCAATACATTTCTGGTAGGCAGGTTCAGGTTGAATGTCTGTTACCTACAACCAAGAGAGTGCTAACCACTGAGACCCTGAGGTCTGAGCCACAGGGTGCTCTCCATTTCAGGGACATGAATGCCTCTTGCATGCCTTTGGGTCTTGTCACAGCATCATCTCTTCGCCTGAATGAGTTTTTCTCCCTCCTATGCCTGGTAGATGTTACTTGCTGTATTAGTCAGGGTTCTCTAGAGGGATAGGACTATAGGAAAGATGTATTTATGAAAAGGAGTTCATGAAGGATAATTGGCTCGCATGATCACAAGCTGATGTCCCACAATAGGCCGTCTGCAAAGCCTCAAAAGCAGGGAAGCCGACACTGCAGCCTTCAGTCTGTGGCTGAAGGTCTGAGAGCCCCCAGCAAAACCACTGGTGTAGGCCCAAGAGTCCAAAAGCTGAAGAACTTGAGTCTGATGTTCAAGGTCAAGAAGCCCCCAGCACAGGAGAAAGACGAAGGCAGGAGACTCAGCCAGTCCAGTCCTTCCACGTTCTTCTGCTTGCTTTATTCTAGCCTTGTTGGCAGCTGATTAGATGGTCCCCTCCCAGACTGAGGGTGGGTCTGCCTCTCTTAGTCCACTGACTCAAATGTTAATCTTTGGGAACACCCTCACAGACACACCCAGGAACAATACTTTGCACCCTTAAATCCAATCAAGTTGAAAATAGTCACCATCACACTTGCCCCTTACTGAGGTCTTTCCAGGCACCCCCTAATCCTGCAGATCATTCTCTTCTCAGTCTTCTCAGTGTGGATTCGAAACCCCATTACATCCCTCAGCATACTGTCATAAAGTATCTGTTGGCTGGGCAAGGTGGCTCAGGCCTGTAATCTCAGCACTTTGGGAGGCTGAGGCAGGTGGATCACCTGAGGTCAGGAGTTCGAGACCAGCCTGGCCAAGACGGTGAAACCCCGTCTCTACTAAAAATACAAAAATTAGCCAGGTGTGGTGGCTTGTGACTGTAATCCCAGCTACTCAAGAGGCTGAGGCAGGAGAATCACTTGAACCTGGGAGGCGGAAGTTGCAGTGAGCTGAGATCACGCCATTGCATAGCAGCTGGGGCGACAGAGCGAGACTACATCTATCTCAAAAAAAAAAAAAGTATCTGTCTATTGGCTCCTACTCCACTTCTTAGAACAATATGAAGCACAGTAAATAATGGCTAATTAGAAGGTACTGTAGTAATAATTTGCTGTGTTTGATTAATTTCTACCCATAGTTGTACAATAAATCGCTTTTTTTTTTTTTTTTTTGAGATGAGGCCTTGCTCTTGTCCCCCACGCTGGAGTGCAATGGCGTGATCTCAGCTCACTGAACCCTCCGCCTCCCAGGTTCAAGTGATTTCCTGCCTCAGCCTCTCGAGTAGCTGGGATTATGGGTGCCCACCACCATGCCTGGCTAATTTTTGTATTTTTAGTAGAGACGGGATTTCACCATATTGGCCAGGCTAGTTTAGAACTCCAGACCTCAGGTGATCCGCCCACCTCGGCCTCCCAAAGTGCTGGGATTACAGGCGTGAGCCACCGCGCCCAGCCACATGTATTTTTAATTAGGGTGTATCCCCAGTGTATGGTGAGGAGAGATGCCACCATGATTCCTATGATCCCTCCACACTGCTTTCATTTGAAAGTGCTATGTCTGAAGAAGTTAAATGAATAGGGAGCTGAGCAGGGCAGGAAAGTGAGGGCATAGGATGTGAATGACAAATTTGAAGATTAAAAATCAGGGCAGGACAGTGAGAATTGGATGTGGTTTGGCTGTGTGCCCACCCAAATCTCATCTAGAACTGTAGCTCCCATAATTCCCATGTGTGGTGGGAAGGACCTGGTGGGAGGTAATAATCATGGGGGCAAGCCTGGAAGGAGCTGGAACGTCACTCTGAAAAATCTGAGCCCAAAAGGAGAACCTGGCAGTGCTGACAGATGAGAGGGTTTGTACTGAAAAGAGGGTAACTGTGTGAAAATCTGCATTCTGAATGATGAGATCCCCTGCCTAGGTCCCTTTCCCTCCTAAGTCTCCCAAGACTTAGGGAAAGAACCCAAGCTTCTGCCCCAGAGCAGGAGGTGGAAGAATTCCTCCCTGGAGAGAGGGTCAGCCACAAAGAAAAATAGCAATGACTGGGCGGTCTTCCCCCAAGTGTGACTGAGTCCCCAGCTGATCATCCCAAAGTAAGCCTACCAGTGACAATGGTCCCTCTTCTCACATATACACGTATACATGCACACACACACACACATGCACACACACAAATGCACACACACACATGCATACAGAGCTGCCAATCAACTCTTTAATGCCAAAGCCCTGAATCTGGGCTTGGTCTTGTGACTTAGCCCATGGAACATTGGTACATGTGTCAGGAGCAAAATCTTGGAAAGCATTTGCCTTGGGGCTTGTGCTCTTCAGACTGTGGTTGGAGTCCTGAGACCACAGCAAGAACAAACTCAAGCCAGCCTGCTAGAGAAGCCATGTGCAGGAGCACCAAGGGGTGAGAGCTGGTGCCTACTACCACCAGATCTGTGAAAGAGGCCATCAGGCTTAAGCCATGAGATGACCACAGGCACATGAGTGACACCAGGCAGGACTGCCAAAACAAACAAACAAACAAACAAACCAAAAACCACCTGGCTGAGCACAATCTGAACTGCTGGCCTACAAAACTGTAAGCAAATACAATGATTGGTATTTGAAGGCACTGCATTAGAGGGTGGTTTGTTATGTGATAATAGATATAAGATAGATTGGAAGGGTGTAAGAACATCAGCCACATGGCTATCTGGGGAGCAGGAAGTTTCAGGTAGGCTTTTGTGTGGGGACATGCACTATGCAGGGAGGAACTGCCAGCAGCCCAGAGTGACAGGGGTGGAGTGAGCCAGAGACATAGAACCTGGAATTAGAGAGGTCATGGGGCAGGATCTTTGTCAGATTGGGTGGGCCTTACAGATGCTGGCAAAGACAGTCATTTATACAAAGTGAAATGAGCCCTTGGAGGGAGCGGAGCAGAGGAGGGGTGAGATCTGACTGCATCCTGATGACACCATTGAGCCTGTCTGCTAGCCCTGGATTTTTCTGGAACTGGCTGCCCTAGCCAGGGGCTAGATGACTTGCAACTTCTCAAGTGGTGCTGGGTCCTGCCTCCAGGAGGCATACCTCTCTTTCTATGATGTTACTTAGCATGGACCAGCAGTGCCTGAATCCATTCTTATATAACAGAGATGTTATAATTCTACCGTCTGTCCTTCATTTGTTATCTGGAACACTTCTATAGAGTGAAATATTTTCTCATCAACTCATACATTACATTGAGGTATAATTCAGTAAGAAAGGCTAGTTACATGCCTGATTCTTTCCCTTTACTTACCAATTTTTGGGACAGTGAGTCCATTTCCTAGCAACAGCCAAAAATGACCAATAAGTTTTGTATTCGAGTAACATTGAGACTTAAGGATTTTTACCATCTGTGATATGTTTCTGTCTATTGCAGTTACTTTTCTCATTCATGCTCATTTGCCCTGAAGTGGGGAAACACTTTTCAGTTCCTTCCTGGTCCTTTTGACATGAACATGGTAGTTATTTATGGCTTCCTTGTCTTCTGGTATAGTAAGATGCTCCAGGCTTATCTTGTTTTGCCCTAGATCTAGGTCAACCATTTCTTCAAGGAGAGACCAAAATCTGCACACTAGCGGTGCTCATTGCAGTGGGCGGCTCGTTGTTCTAGTTCTTTTCAGTGGTCAGGGTCAGGAAATACAGACCCAAGCCCATAGCTGATGTTTCCAACAAATTTAGAATTACATGGTTTCACTTAACTTCTTCTTTTTTTTTTTTTTTTGAGATGGAGTCTCTCTCTGTCGTCCAGGCTGGAGTGCAGTGGCGAGATCTCAGCTCACTGCAAGCTCCACCTCCCGGTTTCACACCATTCTCCTGCCTCAACCTCCTGATTAGCTGGGACTACAGGTGCCCACCACCACGCCCAGCGAATTTTTTGTATTTGTACTAGAGATGGGGTTTCACTGTTTTAGTCAGGATGGTCTCAATCTCCTGACCTTGTGATCTGCCTGCCTCAGCCTCCCAAAGTGCTGGGATTACAGGCGGGAGCCCACCGCACCCGGCAACTTCTTTTGTTTTACATTCGTACCTCTTTTCTTTGAGGTTGGAGATCTTGATCCCCAAAGACATGAACATAATTATTCATTTGGCTTAGCTCACAATATAGTTTTGGAATAACAATAGCAATTTTATTACTAGAAACATGAATGCTGAAAGGTTTAAGCCTTTTTTTGCAGTTCTTTTTGCCTTTAGAATGTATTTCACTAGGGACGTAAGGCAATTATAGTGTTTTAAAGCTATCTTAAATTATTTCTGTCTGCATGGTTGAGCCACCAATATCATACACATTTGATAAGGTACATTTGTGTGATTTTGCTTTTGATTTTTTAGGGATTCTATTTTTTTATTTTACTTGATTTTATATATATAATTATATGAACATTTACATGATTCCAAAGTCAAATCTACAAAACAAGATTTATTTGGAGGGAATTGGCTCCCATCCCAGCCCCCTACACCCTATTCTTTCTGATTCTATTTATGTCTTGTTTGATCTTTCCATTTTCATTTTTTAATTGAAATTTGGTATATTTTCCAGGTTTAAAAAAGTCATATGAGTTTGATGCAAGAACAACTTTGATTAGATCTCAAAGGCATTTAAAAATGTGTGCCAGCTGGGCGTAGTGGCTCACACCTGTAATCCCAGCACCTTGGGGGGCCGAGGCAAATGGATTACTTGAGGTCAGGAGTTTGAGACCAGTCTGGCCAACATGGTGAAACCCCATCTCTACTAAAGATACAAAAATTAGCTGGGCATGGTGGTGAGCATGTGTGATCCTAGCTACTCAGGAGGCTGAGGCAGGAGAATTGCTTGAACCCAGGAGGCAAAGGTTGCAGTGAGCTGAGATTATGCCACTGCGCTCTAGCCTGGGTGACAGAGTGAGACTCTGCCTCAAAAAATAAATAAATAAAATAAAATAATAAAATAAATAAAAATAAAAACATGTGCCAAAGGCCAGTGTTAGCTCCACTTTACAAGCAGATGTGAATGATGTCAAGAAGTCAAAGCCAAAGGATAGGGGGAGCCCAAGCGTCCACCTTCTAAACCACAGCCCAGAAGTGTGGGTGTCGCACCAGGATTCCATTATGGAGAACAAGGCCCACATTGCTTAAGCAGGAAACGACTTATTAGAGGCTATGATAGAATTGTTTGTGGAGCTGAATGAGCAGGCTCTAGGTAGAGCTGTCAAGGCTGGCTTCTGAGCCATACTGCAGAGCTGGAGTTGCTGACTCATCACATCCAGAAACTGGTGAATCCAGAACCACCTGGAATCAAGGAGCCGCTCCTGCTGCAGCCAGCTTCCGAGCTGCAGCGCTCCTGCTATACGTCTCTCCAGGAACCGGATGTGCAGACCACACCTCTGGACATCTGGTGCCTGGACACCATGCTGCCAAGAAAACCAAACACCTCCACCCTGGGCTGACCAGTGACGTGCAGGCATCTGCCCATTTCCCTACATATCCCTAGAAGTGCACCTCACCGATCAGGGCTGCCAGATACTGAAAAAGGTCATTTTCATTTTCCCATCTGCTGCAATTCAAGAAGAAAGAAGAGAGGCTGGATGGAAAGGAGGATGAGGACCCAAAACACGGAGGAACAATACCACCAGGAGATGACGCTGTTCAACACTGCTGGGTTAGCGACGTCAGACACTCGAGGGCAGGGCCATTACACTGCAGCTGTGCCTTGGGCCCCCTACCCCCAGGGATTTCTCAAGGGGATTATTTTTTATCTTTTTTTTAATGTTGATCGGAATCTATAACATTTATATTTTTTCTTGACAGGTTGGTTGGACATATTTTTGGGGTATTTTGACACCTGTACATGATGTGTAACGATCAAATCAGGGTAATTGGGATGTCCATCATCTTCAACATTTGTCCTTCTTTCTGTTGGAAACATCATACAACTTATTTTCTAGCTATTTTGAAATATGCAATAAATTATTTTTAACTGTAATTTCCCTACAGCACTGCAGAATACTATAACTTATTTCTTCTATATGACTATATTTTGGTACCCCTTGGCCAACTTGTCTTTGTCCCCCTCTCTCCCTTCCCCTTCCTGACCTCTGGGAACTACGATCCTACTCTCTATCTCCATGAGATATGATTTTTTAGCTCCCACATGTGAGTGAAAACACAAGATATTTGTCTTTCTGTGTCTGGCTTATTTCACTTAACACAATGACCTCCAGTTCCATTCATGGTGCTGAAAGTGACAGGAGTTCATTCTTTTCATGTCTGAATAATATTCCATTATATATATATATATCTGATATATATATATATATCTTATATATATATATATCATATATATATATATATATATCAGATTTTTGTATGCATTCATCTATGATGGACACTTAAGTTGATCCAATATCTTGATCATCATGAAGAGTGGTATGATAAACACGGGTGCACAGATATCTCTTCCATATAGTGATCTTTCTTTTCTTTCCTTCTTTCTCTTTTTTTTTCTTTCTTCTTTTTTTTGAAACAGAGACTCGCTCTGTTGCCCAGGCTGGAGTTCAGTGGCTCGATCTCGGCTCACTGCAACCTCTGCCTCCCGGGTTCAAGAGATTCTCCTGCCTCAGCCTCCCAAGTAGCTGGGACTACAGGTGTGCATCACCATGCCCGGCTAATTTTTGTATTTTTAGTAGAAACAGGGTTTCACCAAATTGGCCAAGCTGGTCTTGAACTCCTGACCTCAGGTGATCTGCCCGCCTCAGCCTCCCAAAATGCAGGGATTACAGTTGTGAGCCACTGCATCAATGACTTCAAGATTAATTCACATTGCAGCAGTTACCAGGATTTCCTTCCTCGTGCCTCAGCCAGCAGAGTAGCTGGGATTACAGCCACACACCACCATGCCCAGCTAATTATTTGTATTTTTGGTAGAAATGAGGTTTTGCCACGTTGGCCAGGCTGGTCTTGAACTCTTGACCTCAAGTGATCTGCCCACCTTGGCCTCCCAAAGTAGCAGTTGGGATTTTTAAAGGAGAATCCTGCCTGTACAGGATGTGTGCCCTGGGCTTTAGGTTCTGGCTCTTTGTAAGTAGGATTCCATCCTGCTGGTGTCATTGCTGAAGTTAGGCAGAAGATTGGCTCTTGGACTTGACATCCAGAAAGTGTTCTGATGCCCATCACCAAGAATACATTGCACTTTACAACTAGATTCGAGAAGCATCTTCAACCCTGGTTTTTAGAACTGAAAAATGCTTTTACAGTGACCCCCAACCCTCACCGCTGCTCTATCACACTGGGGAATGTGCTGGATGATTGAAATCTTGGGGGGTGGCAGGTGGTTGCAGGTAGGCATAAAGTATTGCCAGAATAAAGCCAACAATACATGGCACAAGGATAGCTTTTTCCCAGACAGCATATTTCTAGCATTCAGCAACATGATGCTGAAGACCCCTAGAATCTACACAGAAATGCCAAAACTTTGTCAGATAATTCTCAAGAGTCCATCTCTGAAAACTTGTGGTTTCTTAAAATAATGGGTCATGTTCACTGTCATCTCAGTCTACGAGAGAATAATTCAAAATGAAGGCACCAAGACTAGTTTGATGGAAAAGTGTCAGTGGAGCGCTGTGTTAGTGTAAGACTGCTACTGCGCCAATGCTATTTGCTTTGCAAATAAGGAAGTGCTGTTTGGGAGATGCTGTTACCAACCCCCGGATCAATGTCATTGATTCATTAATCTGTTGGATTGATTCTGTCACACAAATATGGGCTGCTCTGTCATCTGCTCTCAGTTCACTAAATTCAAGTGGAGGTAACAACCCACCATGTCACTGGGAATGGAAACTAGACCTTTAACGATATCTTGGTTTTTGTCTCTTGCTCCAACAAGAACTTCATAGAGTTAAACTACAAAAGGATCTGCTGAAGAGCTCAGGTGGGTTCACCCGTGCAGGCATTTTGACAAAAGGTAGCGACAACAGCATTCAAATGTATAAATTCATTGCTTTATTTAGCTCCTGAGAGTTTACTAAATTTTTTTCACATCTGAGCAAGTACACAGTTTCTTATCCTAAGAAAGCCCAGGGGCTGTATAATTGCGTCGTATTCTTTTTTCTTTCTTTTCTTTCTTTTTTTTTTTTTTTGACACAGTCTTGCTCTATCGTCCAGGCTGGAGTGCAGTGGCATGATCTTGGCTCACTGCAACCTCCGCCTCCTGGGTTCAAGCGATTATCCTGCCTCAGCCTCCCGAGTAGCTGAAATTACAGGCATGCACCACCACACCCAGCTAATTTTTGTATTTTTAGTACAAATGGGCTTTCACTATGTTGGCCAGGCTGGTCTCGACCTCCCAACCTCAGGTGATCCACCTGCCTTGGCCTCCCAAAGAGTTGGGGGATTACAGGCGCGAGCCACCGTGCCTGGCTGCTATTCTTGAAGACTATCCCCAGGTGACAATCCCTGCAGTGTCATTCTACTGCAGCAAGATTAAAGCCAATCTAATAGCTGGCAAATTTGCTGTGAAAACATATCACCTTCTGTTACTTGCTGCCCTAAGGAAAATGTGCAATAGAAGAATCTTTCAGAACACCAGTTCATTTTTTTTTAAAAAACACAAAGTCACATGAAACAAAGCACACTTTTTTACATATATGAAAGGAAGCATTCACAGGATTTTCCATACTCAGTAATGAATAAGTACCCCAAGAACTGTATTTACTTCTGTGAATCTTTGTTGCGTGATATTTTACTGAAGTCCAAGTGAGCCTGGGTGGTCCTGCAAAGAGTATTCACACAGAGATATATTGTATTACTTATGCTATTAATAAATTGGCTTTATTAGCCTTATCACTGACTTAATTTTTGAAAGAAAAACTCAAACTAAATCAATAACCTGAGTATTATTTCCCAAATTGATGACATTTTCATTTGGGTTTTAATTCAGCAAATTCCCCTCCTCAAAAGAGGGGAATGCTGTCACTTCCCCAGCCAACATACAGGTGACATTGGAAACGCTGCTAAATGCCACTGTGCCTTAGCTTCTCCTATGTATGCAAGGGGTCACTGCCCAGGTAATGACTCTGAGGGGCTGGCAATACAGCATAAGAAAGTCACTCCAAATTCTGTTAAGCAAGGTTTTCCGCAGGCAGCCGTCAGTATCACAGCCTCCAGTACTATAATCATTGTTAAAGCATTTTAAAATAGACAAGACACGCCATGAAGAAAGTGCATCCAGACGGTTGAACTGGGCTGCTGGTTATGATAGCTCCAGGGCGCCCCGGGGGGTCGCAGGTGAAATCCTCCAGGTCCATCTCCCCAGGCAGAGGTGAGCCTGCAATCCAGCTTGCGCTGCCCTTCCAGGGCGTCCCCGGGGCCTCTGGTCTTCAGGGCTGGGCTGAGCCCTGGGCTGCTCAGGACCAAAGCTGAGCTGTTTTTCTTTCAAACTAAACTATGAACTCTCTCTGCTGGAGAAAGAGACAGAAAGGACAGAGAAAGAGACACGCCGACAGAGCCAGAGTGACACAGGGGCACGCAGACAGGGAGACGAGGATGGCGAAGCAGGCTACCAGGCAGGTCCTCTCCTCAGTAAAAGCCCTCCGCATCTGGGAAAGGGAAGATGTCCCTGGATCTGGGTCCTTGGACCCACACAGGGTTGGTAAAAGGGCAGCAAATCGCTACTGTCACTGCTCTGAGCAAAGAAACCAGGGAAAGGCCAGTTCGGGAAAAACAGGCCCTTTCCATCTGACGTGAAGCCCCAGGAAGGGCTGCAGCCCAGCACCGGCAGGACGGCTGGGGACCTGGCTTCTCTCTCTCTCTCTCTCTCGTTCCTTAAATTTTTATTTGAGAATTTTAAAGAAAGGGACCTGGAAAGCTATTTTGTTGGGCTAGAGGGGCCGTGGGCCTTCCCAGCGCGGAGGAAGGAGGGCGGTCAGGCCGGGTGGGGCTGGGTGCGGTGGCTCTGCAGAACCTTTAGGCACCGAACTGAAGCCGCGGGTCCGGTGCGCGGACACTGCGCAGGGCGCTGCTACCGACTCACATGCATGCGAGGGCCCGCTCCTAGGCGTTCTGCCTTCCTGGACGGATTGTTGGTAAAACGTCCCCTAGAACGGCCGGAGCCAGGGCCCTCGGACAGGGGCGCGAAGGGCCCGCTCTTTGCCGTCCTCGGGTTTCCCAACGCGGTGGTCGTGGCCCGCGGGCCCCACCTCGCGGCCCGCCTGGCCGGCCGGAGGAGCAGCGGAGGCCGAGCACTCCCCGGTCTCGGGTTCAACTTCAATAAAAGGGCCCAGCCCGCCCTTGATCACGCGGCTTGCCTGACAGCCCGGCTCAGGCCCGGGCCTAATTGAGCCCGGGTCACCTGGGAATAGGTTCAAAGGCATCAAAGCCGTAAAAACCACCTCCAGGCCCAGAGCCAGAGCGGCCTGGCGAACAAAGAGCCCCCCAACCACTTCAAACGCGCTCGCGCTCGCCGTCCAGATGGCCCGGGGCCGGGGTCCGTGGTGTCGCTCACCGAGGCCGGGCCCCACACTCCAGCCACCCTGAGCCTCCTGCTCGGAGCTGCCCGCGGGCTGCCAGCGCAGCGGAGGCTGGGCCCGGGGCAGCCTCGTGCAGCTCCCGGAGCGCCCTCCGTCCTCTGCTGACCCGCGAAGCGAAGGCGGAGCGCAGAGGCTGGGGCCGTACAAGGCGGGCCGGCAGGCGCCCCAACCCGCGCCCAGCAACCCGGGTAGGGCCAGGCAGGCGGGCGCGGCGGGTACCGGGCGCTCCCGCAGAGGCTCGCTGTGGCGTTGTTTTAAAGCTGTTAGAAGGAAGGTTCGGGAAGGGCGTCGGGGCCGGGGCTCCCCAGCAAGCCAGGGTAAGAAATGGTCCCCGACACGCACGCTGGCCGAAGGGTGGCATCTCCACGGATCTTGGCGGCATGTCCTTGGGCACGGGCGTCTCCAGGGGGCCCCGACTGTCCTTACACTGGCGGTCCGGACACCGAGACCCCTGCCCGCGCAGCTCCCCAGACCCCAGGCCTAAGCTTGCGGGCCGCGGTGCAGACTAGCTGTGCGCCCGGGGGCGGCCAAGACCCACACAGGTCGAGGAGGCTCCTGGCTGCGTCCTCATCTTCTGGGAGCGCATCTGGGACTGGACTCGCCTCTCTAGCCCCTCACGCCCAGAGAGAGAACCCCCCAAAGCCCAGTGGGGGCCGATCTCTACGTTGAGGCGTAGACAAAGCCAGGCTTGGCCGGGCCTAGGGCTCGGGGCGGCCTGAGAGTGCCCTGCGTTCGGGGTGGGGGCGCGGGCGGCGGGCGAGGACCCGGCCCCCGGGATGCCCTCCGCGCCGGGGCCGAAGGGGGAGGCAAAACTGAAAGTGCCGCGCCGGGGGGCGGGGGCGGCCGGCGAAGGCCCCAGAACTTGTCCTGCCCCCGGCCACCGCGGCCAATCAGCGCGCCGCCCTAGCTCCTGACAACTATTTAGCAACCCAGCCCAGCTAGAGTTTCCAAAAAAGTTAGAATAACTTCCTCTCCCGGAGACCTCGGTTTTGCACAAGCCGGCCTTGAAATCAGAGCCTTTCCAGCAACTCCGAGAGCGTGTGCTCGGCGACCGCGGGCTTGGCCAGCGGCGCGCGCTCGGCGCCCCGGCGCCCCCAGCCCCACGCGCGCCGGGCGGGCGCCATGGAGGAGGGCTCCAGCTCGCCCGTGTCCCCCGTGGACAGCCTGGGCACCAGCGAGGAGGAGCTCGAGAGGCAGCCCAAGCGCTTCGGCCGGAAGCGGCGCTACAGCAAGAAGTCGAGCGAAGATGGCAGCCCGACCCCGGGCAAGCGCGGCAAGAAGGGCAGCCCCAGCGCGCAGTCCTTCGAGGAGCTGCAGAGCCAGCGCATCCTGGCCAACGTGCGCGAGCGCCAGCGCACCCAGTCGCTCAACGAGGCCTTCGCGGCGCTGCGCAAGATCATCCCCACGCTGCCCTCTGACAAGCTGAGCAAGATCCAGACGCTCAAGCTGGCCGCCAGGTACATAGACTTCCTCTACCAGGTCCTGCAGAGCGACGAGATGGACAATAAGATGACCAGCTGCAGCTACGTGGCCCACGAGCGCCTCAGCTACGCCTTCTCCGTGTGGCGCATGGAGGGCGCGTGGTCCATGTCCGCCTCCCACTAGCGCCGCGCCACCCACCTCCGGACCGGCGCGCCAGGGTAGGTGCTGCGCGCGCGACGGGCGCCCTCCGCTGCGGGGGGCGGGCGGCAGGGGCGCAGGGGCATTGGGGCCTGCTCGTGTCTCCTCGGCGAGGCCCCGCGGGCCGCGGGGGCTTGGATGCCGTGCGCTTTTCCTCTTAGCAAGGAAGGCGGGCGGGCGGGACGCTCACAGTCCCAGGGACACCCCTGAGTGCAGACTTCCACGCGAGGGTGTCAGTTGGGAACCGGCGGACCGGTGACTCCCCCGGCGGGTTCTGAAGATACTTAGACAGATGGTCGCAGTTTTCATTCTCGGTGGTGTGTGGGTGTCCGTGGTTGGCGGTGGAAGGAGCGAGCATCAGAAAAACCTCCTGGGGCCGGCTGGGGACTGGGATATGAGGACCAGCTGCCCTTTGCGTCCGCCGCAGCGCAGGCCGCCCGCGAAGCTGCCCGAGCCGGGTGTTGCCGGGCGAATGGCTTCGCTTTCTTCCTGGGCAAGGGTAGAGCGCGTCCGTCGGGCGGACACTCAGATCTACCCAGCTGCTCGCGCCTGGGGTCCCCGGCCGTCGGCGCCCTGGCCTGCCCAGTGGGCGTAGAGGTGCGGGCCTGCGGCTCCAGGGTTTGCCTGGGGAGGACGGGAGGAAACTGCCCTGCGCTTCGGGGCCAGAGCAGCCACAGGGCCGGGTGTGCCCGAGAAGGGCCCTGGGCCGAGAGCGCAGAGCCTGGAGCGCTGAGGCAGGCGGGTCCGACGCAGCCGCGCGGAGCCCCAGGGCGCCCGCAGGCAGGTGGAGCTGACCTAGGAACTGGGAGCCCTGAGTCCCAACCTTGACCCTGGAGTACCCGGGAGGGGCCCCGCCCATCCAGCCCCGCAGGGATGGGCGAGGGGTCCAGGCTGGGAAACGGGTCTGGGGGACAGGGAGGCTGTGCGCGCCGGGCCCTGCGCGAGGAGAAGGCTCGGGGGACACAGCTGCCAGGAGCACTCCAAGTTCTGGTTTCCTCTGGAAGAGCGATTAGGGCGTCCTGCACCGGGTCCTTTTCACCAGACACCTTCCAAGTCCCTTTAGACAAGCTCGAGCCACGGAGGCGCCGTCCTTAGGCTCTGTGAGCAGGCGAGCCCCTCTCTCATCCGCCATCCAGGGCCATGGAGGGGCACAGAGTTCTTTTTGCTGGGGCCGAGTTAAAAATCCTTCCCCCTTAGTATGTTTTAGTTCCTCGCACATCTTGCGATGTTTTTATAAAAGACTCTACTTCACACAGAAGGAATTTAGATTAATCAAGAGCACCCGGCCGCCTATTCTCCCAAACATATCTATTTCTTTTTTTATGTGGTTCTATAATATCTGCGAATGTTGTTGCTGAGGCCACGAAAAGCTGATCCAGCACAGGTGGGTTTTATTTCATTTTTTTAGCTTTTATTTTGGTGTCACTGAAAATTCTGTAGCTGCAGAGCCTCCTGAGATAATGATAATTGTATAGTTTTTAAAAAATAATTTTCAGCAGAAAATAACTTGTGGGAATCTTCTCCTGTCTTTGTCAAAAACAGATGGAAAGTGTCTCAATCACATATTTCTCTAGGAAAGTTTGGATTGGCTGAGTACTAAACGCTACAGTGGGGTAATACATTAATTCTGGTTTTTGCTGCCTAAATAATGAGCTTCCATTAGTTACTTCCATTTATGCTTTACCTCATTCATGGTTTATAGCACATCTGAAATAAGAACAAACAGATGAGGAATGTCATCTTTTTAAAAACACACACATTGAGCCGTGTTTAAGGAAAATGTCACTTTAATTATCGTTAAGACTGCCCTCCAGAAAATTACTGAAAACAAATACCAGTAGATATGATGCTGCTAGAATTTAGTAGGAACATTTAAAATTCATTTAAAAATAATCGCACTCCTCAAAACTTAGAGAATCAGCCATAGGTAACCATTAAAGATTATAGAAAAATAAAATGCAATACATGTAATAAATAAATAAAAACAGTGCCAAGAGCTTGTTTGGAAAAAAGCCCTTGAAAATATAATAGATAATTACACAGTTAGTGGGAGAGCTGATGATCTATAAGGAGCCTATTTATTTTTATTTTTACATACTGGACTATAACTGAGTAGTTCAAACAAGCTAGTTTCATTAAATAGATACTCTAAAAGAAGAGAAAAGAAATATGGAAAAATTTTATCCATGAATGATTCTGGACACACCTTGTTTTTATTTATCAGGCACGTTAGGCAGACATCTTGTCATTCTTTTTGTCTTTAACTCATTATTCCCTATAAGATCAATACGATTATAATTGGTTTGATTTCCTGAAAATGTTGCTAAACAGCATTTGTTTTTATTTGTAGCATTTCTAAGAAGCATTAATTATATGCATCAGCAAAGAATCTCTAGACATTTCAGTACATTGTAAGTGATTTTAATGTTTGATGTGGGATGTTTTCACGTATGTGAAGAAAACTGTCAAGACTAACAGCAACAGCAGCACAAAGCCTAAATTGTCCTCTGAAAGGAAGAGAAACGCAAGAGATGGTGGAGTGCGGGTGCTGCCGATATCTATCCTGCCTTTCTTCTTTGGCCTGGTATTTAAAAGCACAATTAGACAATAAATCAGGTGTCTTTGTCCAGTCAGTTGGATTCATCTAATAGAAAAATCTCAAAAGGATTTTTTTAGTATTCTCATTAAATGCCTGAGTCTTCGGAGCAGGGTCCCAGACACCTGGCTTGGAGGGTGGGGGAAGGTGACCATTACTTATCAGACATTTGTCCTGTTCCCTGCTGTGTGGTTAAAGAAAACATCTTCTCTAACTTCTGCATAGTGTGCACAGATTTTCAGTAGATTTCCTCACTCAACAAACTTTTTTTTTTCTGAGAACTTTTAGCTACTTTGAAGAAATTGCATGACCCCTTCACCATCTAATATATGTGAGCCTTTTCCTCCCTCCTGAAAATTTACTTCTCATAGGTGTTTGTTAACTGCTGTATTCAGGATGCTAGAAAATCAGTTCTTCGTGGAGAAGAACAGAAATGCAGAATCCCAATGGAGCTTTTGCTTGCCTAGAAGAAGTAGAATGAAAGGCTGAGCTCCCTGGAATATAAGCAATGTTTGGTTACAAAATACCCATCAATAAGATCTGATGTAGGGATTTGACCTGTTAATGTGGGTCTTTCCCCTTAAATATCAGCAGTCCTTTCGGCCTTGCATCAGGGAAGTCTTGCTACTCATCTTGCTGGAGAGGGAATTCCTCAGACTTCAGTGGCTCTTTGAGGCCATTTGAGATAGAATACTTCACTGAGGTTTCCTGAAACTCATATTTTCATACAGATCTTGAGCTGAACCATGTTCTTGTCATCCTTGCTTCACTCTGTTCTGGGTAGACGGCACAGATGCCGGATTCCTTTTGCCTGGCAAAAAAATTTAAAAAAAGAAAAAAAAACACCACACACATAAAGTAAACTCTTTCTGAGCAGAGCACTATAACTCATAACTTTAGTTTAAATCTGGGCTTTAAAAAAAACAAATATTTTAATAAGCCAATTTTAAAGGCTGAACTTTTATGACGGTTTTTAAGCTTAGTATTTATATTAATCTATTCTCACTGGTGTCTTTAAAAACCCTGTGAATGCATGCTGGAATGTCTGTTTATGTTTGTGTCTTTTCCTGGGAAAGGATAAATGTGCTGCAAAAAGCAAACCAAATACAGAACTCTCCGCTAGCAGAGAGTTCACAAATGAGGCAATAAAATTCAAAGAAGAGATGAATAAGTTACTGTAGCCAAGGACTGGAAAACCATAAAGGAGAAACAGAATCTAAGAGATACAGACATGGATGCTTTCAAACGTAAAGGCAAGATGAAACACTACAAACAGAAACTGATTAAAAAGATATTCCACATGGTCACCTGAGTCTACACGTGATAAAATTGCATAGCACTAAACACACACACACACACGCACATGCACGTGCACACACATGTACACACGAGTGTATGTAAAACTGGTGAAATCTGAATGAGGTCTGGGGACGATATTGACGCCAGTTTCCTGATTATGATAATTGCAAGATGTCATCACTGGGAGAAGGGAGTGAAGATATGAGAATCTCTGTATAATATTTCTTGCAACCTCATGTGAATCTATAATTATCTCAAAATTAAAATAAAAAAGATATTCTACAAAAGTATTAAATCTATATATTTAGATAAGCAAATTATCTAAGAAATTACTACTAAGATTTATCTCAGAGTAATAAACTAAAAATGTGACTTGAGCAAAACTCCACATATTTTTTCTGACGCCATTTGAGGAATCTCAATATATTTCCAATATATAACTAATTAGAAGTGGTTCCCTGTAAGTCTTAAATAAAGAATAGTATCCCAGAAATATGAAAGGTGAAATACCAATTATAATAGCAATACATTTATTCCTATACTAATAAAGAAAATATTTTACACAAAATTTTGGGAAATATCTACCTTAAACTGATACCTGTGTTATATTTGCTTTTTAAGATACTAATTTTATATTAACTTTCATTAAGCATACACACACAATTCTAAAGCCAATGATTTATAAAAATTATTCGCCAAGAAGTATAGAGATTGAAGTTTTAGTATTTGGAGCCATAAGCAGTGAGAGGGAGAGGATATAGCAGAGGAGGGAGGGAGAGAGAGAGAGAGAGAGAGGGAGAGAGGGAGAGATGGAGAGAGAGAAGGAGAGAGGGAGAGATGGAGAGAGAGAGAGAGAGAGAGAGAGAGAGAGAAACTCAAACCCTAAGCCCAGTTATAGTTATTTTTAATGAATAATTGTTTAGAAACATATTTTCTGTTTTTGTTTGGTAGTAACCCTTTGGATGAGATTGAGTGATATTAAACTATGCCTTACCTGAATGCTGATTTGGAAATGAGGGCGGTAGCATTAACAAGGTGAATTTTAAGCTCTTGTAAACTGAGGCACAGTGTGATTTCTCTTCAGCGATTATTAATGGTTGTCACTTCGAAAAGAGACTTGGATCTGAAATTGGAAAAGCCAACACATAACTTGATTCCAGCATGAGGAAAATGTTTTAGTGCTTAGTTAAAAATAGAGTCATTTTGAACCCAAACGGTATCTGACGTGCTTCAGATATCTGGGCTATTTCATCCTCAACTGTGGTGTGATAATATGATGATCCTGTGGTGATGAAGATGAGAGAGCGCGGCTGCGTGAGCTGAGTGCAGTGTCTGCTTGTCTACCGGGGCTGTCCCTCACTGAGCGGTTTTCTATCCTAATATTGTTTTCCTCTGTTATTTGACCAGGGAAAGATTCAGATGACCCAGCTTCTGTCGAAGCCTCATGGAGAACTATAGTTTTACTTCTCAGACCCGAAGAGCAGTGCCTTTAAACTTGGACACATCTCTCCTTTCTTTAGTTCAGATTTTCCCTTCACTGAAATGAAAGACAGGGTTGAACTCAGAAGAGCTTTCGGTTATCACATTCGATTATCCTGGAAAATACTCCTGTCTTTTTAGTTCACATTCTGCCTTAAAAAAATAGCCATCAGTATCTTCTGGGAGGAAATGGTAAATTTTGTTATGTGGTCTGGCATTAGAGTCCTAATTCTCACTGTCTAATTTGACAGACGGTTCACCTCTGTGTCTCTGGATGTGCAGGTCTGGTGTGCGACTGACGGGAAAGATTTGGGCAAACCCCTTGATTTGTATTAACCCTTCGACCTTGACTAAACATCAGACCCCACCCTGTGGCTGAGGTCTGTGGTGTGGTCACAGGCAGAGTCTTTCCGGAGCACCAGGCAGAGCAGCTCCCCCCAGGAGGGGTTAGGGCAACTTTTTGGCCTTTTGCTGTGAGAGGGGAGGGTTAGAGATCCTTTTGCTCTCTTCCCCGTGGAGAAAAAAATGTTGAAACTTTCGTCGTTACTACTGTTTTTCTGTCGCTATCCAGACAAAATGCCACCCTAGCATTTCTGTTAAATCTCTGTAAGTAGATGCCCCTGCTGAAGGGTGGAGAGATTTTGGCCCGCTTCCGAGGCAGGGGCTCCATGAGGGACAGCTTGGAGCATGAACAACCTCCTAAAGGAAAGCACAGGCCAGTCATGTACAATCTCGGGCTCTGCTGCCACGGCAGCTTTCTTTGTCTGTTCTACTTTGAATTAGCATATTCTGTATGTGAAAATGCAAGCAGGCAGCGTTTTCTTTGAATCACGAGATCTACAAGTACCGTTTCCTTTCCTTCATCTCTGCTCTTTGAGTGGTTCGTGTGGCCGGTGCTCAGAGGGCTCGGAGTGGCAAGCTGGCTGCCTGCGTGGACTCCCTGGACCTGCGACTTGTCCTTTACTTCCACAACTCAGACTTTTAGCTCGGCGGAAGAGTGCACAGGCGCAGCGCAAGCTAGCTAGCCTGCAGGGTTGGCAAAACCTATACCGACTGGGTCCCTTCCGGAAAGTTTGTGTGAACTTTAAATCTCAGTCTCAGGGAGACTGTTTTGTCTTGATACATAACAGAATAAGGCAGTTATCATTTCTTTGGGAAATGCCTAAAATACCGCAAATTGGAAGGGAAGGGAAAGGAAGGAGGAGAAGGCATACTCCTCTTTCTCAAATCGGGCATCTACACGTCTCTGTTCACATCATTGACACCAATGGGCGAACAGTGTCTTCATTGAGGATTAATTTTCCTGAAATCAAATAATCCCAAATTGCATACTACATATATACTGGTTTCTAACTAGTCAACATCTTCAACATATGCCCAGCCGCCTGGCTTTCCTCTCGTTCATGATAATCTGCATGCGTAGATGGGAAGCTAGGAGAGAAAGATGTGATCATTTCGCATTCCTTGTTTTCTGTCTGGTGAACATTTCTTCTCCAGCAAGTGTTTCCTACCGCTTCCCCCAAACCTGCATATACTCTTCTATATTCTTTAGTTGAAACAGCATCTTTTAAAAACATGATTAACTGAAGTCCGCTTGAGGTTTCACTTTATAAAAAAGTAATAGAGGAAGAACGAGAAGCCCACCATCAGGTCCCGTGATAGCTCAGTCACACGTGGAAATACAGACTGTAAATACAGAATGGCCGAGGACCCTCTGAGCAAAGGTCATCTAGGGGCTCCCGAAGCCTCGTGCGGCCCATAGATGTGTGCTCAGCACCCCCGCCTCAGTGTGTGCTTGGCGACTCCCTCTCCTTCGTGGGCTCATGTTACTATTTTCTAAAAGTATTGTTTCACTGATACCAGAACAGGAGTGCTCCAAACAGATATCTGTACCCTAAGAATCCCAGGGTGCCCTGTTTTTGTTGATTTCTCTGGTGCAGAAGGACCTGTTTCCACGATCCCCAAACTCCCTGGGGGCCGTGCGGTGGCTGTGGCAGAGGGGGTGCATCCAGGACTGGCGTTTTATGGCCCCCGAGGTAGGGTCAGGAGAGAGCTTATCTTGAGGTCCCGTCTTGTGTGACTGCGAAGGTGTTAATAGGCAGGGTCCAGGTGGCCCATGCGAGCTGGCAGCATTGGAAGGGTAGAATTAATTGAAGGGCATTTTACTGGGTGTTAAATTATTGCTAATTCCAAAACTTTCTTTCAGACTATTTTTTTCTGAGAATAGAGATTTCCTTCTAATTAAACAACAGGCAAAAGATGAGCACGGTTACTCACCTCTCTGCTCGTTTCAGTGTTGCTGTATGTCATCTCCTTTCTTGTTTTACTACAGTTCACAAGTGAATAATATCATGTAATTTCAGTGTGGAACAATGTAATTTCCATGTGCGTCCCCAGCAACCCTGTGTACATTAGTCTATCATTTATAATTTATAACATGGAAAAGTTTTTTTTTTATGAAGGACAAAATAAAAGAGAAGGTTAGGATGTGAATAGGTCAAGTGATATATGAAGAATTTCACAAGGGATCAGGGCTACGGAAGGGACTCAGGTCTCTTAAGAATAGGTCCCATTCTGTATTTATCTTCAGGATTGTGTTGGGGCCGTGTGCCTCTCTCTGCTGCTGGCCATGGGAGACCCGGCACCTCTTCCTCAGTGTCCCTCAGAGACATAGAAGACAGCAGTTTCTCAGAAAAAGCACCCTTCCTGCCGTTCTCAGAAAAACAACACTGTGAAAATCCAGCAGGGCCCCTCCACACTGCTGCAATAGTGCCACGAGGGAGGCCGCTGCAGACACAGTCACTTGAAGAGGACCTCAGGTGCCTTCCCTTCCTGTTTGGTCCCAGGCATCAACACTGCCCAGCAAAGTGTGTCCAAGAAGCCCCAGAGGGGGCCGTGTCTCTGAGGGGCCTGTGACAATCGCAGGTGATTCAGATGCCAGAGAAAGCAGAGGCCCCCAGAGGAAGGTGGTCAGGGGGCCATCTGCTGTGCCTGGGGTCAAGGACCACTGGAGGGAGCTTGGGTTGGCCTGAGACTGTTCAGGGGAGGGGCACCATGGGCATGGTGCCCCTGCATGACGGGCGGGCCCTCCCATGAGAGAGGAAGAGGGGAGCAAGAGGAAGGACGCTGCTGGCTGTTTGCAAGTAGCTGTCCCACCACCCTGGCACTTCCCTGGTCCCTGAGGCTGGACGGGCCTTGGAGCCCATCTTCGCTAAGGCCCAAGTCACCTATCAGCTCGTGCTGATGAATGTCTGAGCATGAGCCCAGCACGGCTCAGCATTTGCCAAGGTTAAGGAAAGGAAGTGGTAACTCAGCATTGATTTCCTCCCCCTGGATTTAATAGCGATAGATCTAAACCTGCAGTCAGATATCACTTTGAAAGCCTTGGCTCATCTAAAGACAGCTTCCAAGAGACGATCAGGCCAGGCCACTGCTGCGGTTTGCAGAGGAAGCAGGACCAGCCCTGTCTTTGCTGAAAGAAGCCAAACGACCATCTTGTCTGTCTCGTAAAGCATCCTTCTGCTTGAATAGCAGAGCTCTTTGAACGGCAATAAAATATTACATTGAGGCTGGGCGCAGTGGCTCATGCCTGTCATCCCAGCATTTTGGGAGGCCAAGGTGGGTGGATTACCTGAGGCCAGGAGTTCGAGACCAGCCTGACCAACATAGTGAAACTCCATCTCTACTAAAAATACAAAAATTAGCCACGTGTGGTGGCACACGGCTGTAATCCCAGCTACTCAAGAGGTTGAGGCAGGAGAATCACTTGAACCCAGGAGGCAGAGGTTGCAGTGAGCTGAGATCGCGCCACTGCACTCCAGCCTGAGCGACAAAGCGAGATTTCATCTCAAAACAAACAAACAAACAACAAGCAAACCAACACCATTACATTGGGCAGATGACAGACTTTGTCCTCCCGGCTGGTTCCTCCAAAGCCAACTGGCCTGGGGGTTCTCTGTACCAGGCTCTTGGACAATCAGCTTGTGTTGTACTGTTTCCTGAAAGTTGCAAATATTGTTGAATGTTAATTACATAATTTCACTTTTTCTAACCAGAAAGAGGAAAAGAGGAAGTGGGGAGGCAGAAAGTGAAGCTGCTGTGCATTTCTGCCTCCCTGGGCGCATCCACCGGGCTTTCTCCTACTTGGTTCATCACAATGTGAAACCATAATTAACTAATTCTGAGAACTTTTAAATGCTTGTGACTATACATGATCGGTGTGACTCTCTACAACAGATTTTGCAATTAATTGAAGTCACTGTTTCTGGAATAAGTCATATGGGATTCTTCCCTTTAGTAAGCTTTTTTGAGGTGGTATTTTTCTAATTTGGGAAATTTTAATTAGGCAGAAACCAAAGGCTGTTGACTTTGCGAGAGGCAAGCTAGCTCCCCAAGTGACTCTCTTGGTCAGAACCCATTGTCTTGTGTCTGGGGGATCCACGGTTCAGAATAAGACTTGACTGAAGTTAAGTCTTGACTCAAGTTAAGCAGTGGAGAACACTTTTCTGCCCTCAGCCTTGCAGTTTCCCATGTGGTCCGAGGCAAGTCATGGCCTCTCTGGGCCTCAGTTTCCCCGTCTGTAAAATAATGGACTAAGTTTCTTATAGCCCTCTGGCTACTAGAATTCTAAGAGCCAATATAACCCTGCAATTCCACTGCTAGGTATATACCCCAAAACACTGAAAACAGTTTTGTTCAAACAAAAACTTGTACATGAATGTTCATAGCAACATTATTCACAATAGTCAAAAGACGGAAACAGCAAAGTGTCCATGAACTGAGGATCAGTAAAACGTAGCCCATTCGTACAATGGAATGTAATTCAGCCATAAAAACAAATGAGGTTGGGCACAGTGGCTCACGCCTGTAATCTCAGCACTTTGGGAGGCTGAGGCGGGTGGATCACCTGAGGTCAGGAGTTCAAGACCAGCCTGGCCAACATGGTGAAACCTCATCTCTACTAAAAATACAAAAATTAGCCGGGTGTGGTGGCGGGCGCTTATAGTTCCAGCTACTCGGGAGGCTGAGTCAGGAGAATCGCTTGAACCTGGGAGGCAGAGGTTGAAGTGAGCCGAGATTGCACCACTGCACTCCAGCCTAGGCAACAAGAGCGACACTCCGTCTCAAAAAAAAAAAAAAAAAGTGTAATATGTGCTACAGCATCGATGAACCTTGAAAACATTATGCTAAGCTCAAGAAGCCAGATGACTACATATTGTGATATTTGGGATTTCATTTATATGAAATGTCCCAAATAAGCAAATCCATACAGGCAGAAAGGAGACTGGAGGCTTCTCGGGCTTCATGGGAGGGGGTGTCGGGGGTGAGTGCTGAACAGGTGTGGAATTTCTGTTTGGAATAATACAAAACGCTCCAGAACTAGGTAGTGATGATGCCTTCACAACAAGGTGTATGCACTAAATTCCACTATGCTTTAAAAGCTCAAATGATAAATTTTATATTGTATGTATCTTACTACTATCACCAAAAAAAAAAAAAATCCTACTTCCCAGACCATGTGCATCTCTGGTAACTGAGGTGTTCAGTTGGGGGTGGAGGGGCTAAGGGGCTAAGCGTTCACCCATCCCTCACTTTTCAGAGATGTTATCCAGTTTATCCTCCTGCTTCAGCACTTATCCAACTCTTCTAGTTGTGCCTAAGAGCATTTTCGACATCTAGTTCCTAATGTGTTTATTCACACACACACATGCATGCACGCACACGTGTGTCAAACAATTCTGAGGCACACTGTTTCTTTTGCCTGCCCTCTGCTTTTTGTGACATGTTGAGTACACCTCTTGAAGCCTCTCCACAGTAGACTGAGTTCTCACCCTCTGGGGGCCGAGGCAGAGAGGGATTCACGCTAAGCCTCCATGCTGCTTGCAGTCAGCCTCTAGATGAGAGCCAGGAGCATTTGCCATATCTGTAGTGGGGGAGTCTGGTACCTGATGGGAAGACACACAAGGGTGGCCCATGAGTGCACACCTCTCGCCTCCATCAGCAGGCTGTCCACAGCCCAGGGCTCGTCTGCCCGCTCGGTGGACCGCTTCAGGCTGGTTCTGGGCTCAGAGGCCCTCAAGGGGTTGGTGCCACCTCCAGAGTCATGGGATTCCTGCTCTTCGTGTGTGCAGGTGCTGCTCCCAGAAGACAGGGAGACACCTGGAGACATCAGGAGGGTGGCACTAACTCGTTCAGCACCAGTTGTGTGTTTTCCTTCGGTTGCTCATTTTTCTTTTCTTCCTCCCTGATCTGTGCACCCTTTACATGCTCCTCAGCCACCTGTGTTTGAGACACTGTCAAAACCGCCCACCCAAGAGGGATGGGCCAGAGAGCTGCTCTGAGTGCTCCCTCAGCCATGACCCCATCCTGTTTCTTTTTAAGACATCATCACCTTTGTGGCATTATTCAGCCAGATTTTGAGACACTGATAGAAGCCCCAGAGATGGTGTTGGGCTCCAGGATTGTTTGAATTTTCAGAATCCAAACTGAGGGATCAGGAGAACTTGGAGCAAATCCCAAAGGATCTCACCAAGGGTTGAGTTGCCAAAAGCAGACAAAAACTGTTCCGGGCCAGGCGCAGTGGCTCACGCCTGTAATCCCAGCACTTTGGGAGGCCGAGGCGGGTGGATCACCTGAGGTCAGGAGTTTGAAACCAGCCTGGCCAACATGGCGAAACCCCGGTTCTACCAAAAATACAAAAATTAGCCGGACGAGGTGGTGGGCACCTGTAATCCCAGCTACTCGGGAGGCTGAGGCAGGAGAATCGCTTGAACCTGGGAGGTGGAGGTTGCAGTGAGCCGACATCGCGCCACTGCCCTCCAGCCTGGGTGACAGAGCAAGACTCCACCTCAAAACAAACAAACAAACAAAAAACTGTTCTGTGTGATGCTGCTGTTCCCCCATTCCCAGTCCCATTGCTGAGCAAAGAGGAAGCCACCAGGGAGGAGGTGCAAAGGGAAAGAGATTCCCAAAAGCTGCCAAGAGAGAGGACTCCAGATGGAGATGGGAGGACTGGCCGCCGGGGCCCTGGCCTCTTCCTTAGTTAAGTTGTGCAGTCGGCTTGACAGGAACATGGGTCACCCTCAAGCCAGACACATCTTGGTCTCATGGCCCCCATCAGTCACCGCCGCAGGGGTTCTTCCCACAGCTGCCGAGGCGCAGAGCCCAGCTGCTTTGATTCATGAGCACGATATTCACATTCGTAGCACAGCACACTTGCTTTTCCTGGGGGATGCTCTGCTCTCCTTTCCGGCCACTTCTGCTTCGTGGTAACTAAATTGGAGGCTCTACCATGTCCAGCCTGTGCTCTGTATGCCTGGGGGGACACTGGAGCCAGCGCCCAGTGAGTGTAGGGTAACTAGAAAGGGCACCTCCATCACTGATTTTCCAACTGACTTTCAGAGACACCATCTGGATGCTCTGAGGCAAGTCGGCACCCTTAGGCGCCCGGTGGGGGTAGTGTTCCGCCCTTGTCTCCTCCACTCCTCCTCCCTATCTCTATCTCACTATCCCTGAAGGTGAGACCGTGGTGTCAGAGAATGCACTGAGTCAGCGTCCCTTTTAGCACACCTGCCACCACCTGACTAACAGCAAAGCCAGGCTTCCTGGTGAATCCCGTTACAGCCGTCCCGTTTATCCATGGTTTCGCTTTTCGAAGTTTCAATTACAGACAGTCAACCACAGTCCAAAGTTATTAAATGGAAAATTCCAGAAGAAAAATTGATACATTTTAAATTGCACACCATTCTGAGTATCTTGATGAAATCTCGAGCTGTCCCGCTCCATCCCCCCAGTCTCTGGGTCATCAGACAGAAAACACATACAGTATATATAGGGTTCCGTACCATCCTTGGGATCGAGCATCCGCTGGGGGTCTTGGTGTGTATCCCTGTGGATAAGGGGGCCTACTATAATTTCATCCCACTGAGGTGCCATGGCCCAGGCCAGCAGGGACAGTCACAGCTGTGGACGGAACACCACAACCACACGTGGACGGAACACAGCGGGACATCAGGCCAGTGTCTTACAGGTGGCAGTGGTGAACATCCAGTGAGCTGAAGTGGTGTTTACTAATGCAGGCCTTTCCGACCATCTGCTTCCAAAAGCTGACCATTCCAAGTCCAGCAATCATAAATAAAATAGCAAAATAATAACTCACTAAATTAAAATTGTAAACTTTTATATACCAAAAAACTATGACAATCAAAAATTTTAGAAGAACCAGGAAGAAAATATTTACAATCTGTTTTGCAATGGGTTAATGTTCTTACTAGAAAAAGGGCCTTTAAAAAATTTAAAAAGACAATTACCCCATATGGGCAAAAAATATGAATTCATAAAAGGAGAAATTCAGTTGGTCAATAAACGCGTGAAGTGTTGAACTTCAACAATAATCTAAGGAATTAGAAATAAAACAGAAGGATATTATTTTTTATTAAATTGGAAAAAATACATAATTATAAACCCCAGTATTGAGGAAGGTGGGGGAACCAGGCCATCCTATTTGCCAGAGGGAAGAAAAGCTGCACAAGCTTTCTAAAGGAATTTTGATGGTAGGTAAGAAAAGATCTAGGACTGGAAATACCCTTTGCATGAACAATTCCACTTCTAGGAATTATCTTAAGTGAATAATGGCAGAGCTGCCGAGCAACAAAGAAATTCATATCAGCTTCATTAATATTGGCGACAAAATTAAAATGTCCTGGGAAATAGGTGGGATAAACTCTGCTTGGTCCATATGCTGGAACACTATGCAGTCAGCAAATGTGTGTTGTAAGTGGATGTTTAATAAAGTGACGGCCATGATTGTAGGATGGAGCAGTTCATACGATCTCAGGTTGGAAGATCAAAGTGTGTGTGTGCATGCACGGGTGTGTTTGTCTGGAGAGACAGTGGCAAGAATGAATGTCTCTGGACCAAAAGTTGATGAAAGAGCTTCCTTTCCTTCTTATGTTTTTTTTTTTTTAATTTCTAGATTTTCTACAGATGCCCTGTATTACTTCTGCAATTTGAGAACACAAATCCAGAGGTGCCCAGTGCTTTGTAAAGATAGTGTGGCAGGCACATGCTGACCGACCCTCCCTCCAGAGAAGGGCAACTACTCCCAGTCCCATCATAAGGTGGTGCAGTGAAAATACAGCTGCCATCCACATAGGAATGCCCTCACCGCAACCCCCACTCGGTGTTAGGACTTAGGTACTTGCTGAAGTAATACAAAAGAGTGGCCTTCAGAATATATTTTTGTATCTTCTGCAATCTACATTAAAGATGCCCGTCCATCATTTTCAGAAGAGGCCTTTCGTGTTAGGATAATTCAGAAGGATGCACCCGGAATGTACCAGCGCGGCTCCCTGATGGAGCTGGCGACGTCCTTTGGCAGTGAGGGCTGTGCGGTTTCAGCTCTCCTGGCTGGCCTTTACCCGCTGGGCAGTTCCCAAATGGCGCTTCATGATGGGACTGGCGCTCATCCTCACACTGTTAGTGTTAGCATCCTCATTTCTTCTGCCTTTTTTTCACTCCTCTCTACGTAGTTGGGGATATCTGTTGTTAACCATAAACCACTTCAGCTTTGGGGAAGCAAGTGGGAAAAAACCTCAATGAACCCCTTAGCTGTTCCCCGAACCCAAATTGAGAAGAGGTGCTTTGACCCCGACTCACTCAGTGGAGCTAGAAAAAGCCCTTTCTTAGCTACTAGAGACGTTTTATTCACTTTTTACCAGGATCAAAAATGAAAACCACGTGTCCCCCTGGCCTTGTATGATGAATGACAAATGTGTGGGACTGAGGAGAGGTCGGCCGTAGAGTAGGTCTACCCCCTATCCTGGGGGCATCCCTGTGTGCCAGCTTCTCCAGAACCTACAGGGAGGAAGCACCAGGCGGCACCTCCCCAGAGGCTGGAGACCAACCAGGCACAGAATCTCTCATTTCCTTTCAGATTCTTCGCCATAATCTAATTTTCGTTAAGCCTGTCTTCCTTTACACCCTGGGCTACATTTGACGCATATTTCTGGCAAATTCTGGGACCACCTTTGCCAGATGACCAAATCCTTTTCGGAGAGATGACTGAAATATTTGTAAGTTTCCATCAGCATGGGGGGAAGGGGCTGGAGGTGAGGGGGGACCTCTCGGGCTGTGCCGTGGTATCCTCTCTTCTCCACATTACACCCCAAGCACGCGACTGTGAGCGGCGATCGGGGCCTGATCCTCAGTTCGAAGACACAGATGCTCACTGCTGTAGAGACATAAAGAAACCAAGAGGTTAACTGCCAGGGTTAGTCCCCTCCGCGGGCCTCCTGCATGAATCAGAGCCGACTGGGAGCAGGAGTGACTCAGAGCCGTGGCTTTTTGTCCTCTGGCTGTGCAAATAAACAGAGCAGGAAGGTTTGAATGGGCCAGGCCTGGAGCAGAGTGCAGGGTTGGAGGCGGCTCCCAGTTCCAAGGCGCGCCCCACCCGGCCCCCAGGCCAGGTCAGCCTGGGGAGGGGAGAACTAAGGGCACCAGGCAGCCCACCCGGCCCGGCCAAGACCAGCAGGACAGGGGCCCAGAGGCTGGTACCCTCCGAGGTGCGGGAGAAGAGGAGGTGGGAGGGTGCGGGGCCGTGGCTTGCTCTGTGGGGACACTGCCCTGGGGTCCACCCTGCCGCGGGGTCCACTTGGTATAGGCACCCACCAGGCCTGCACCCTACCCTGGGAAACACCTGTGGGGCTGTCCCCTTCTCTGAGCATCTGTGAGGGGTTTTCCTCTCCTTAGGGACCCCTGGAAGGTCCAGAGTGCAGGGTGTGTGGCCAGGCCAGGCCTGGAGATCCGCCAGGAGCAGAGAGCTCCGGAAGGCCTGCCGGGAGGACCTGGAGGATGCATCTACTGCCAGGCTCGGTGGGCCTGGCCACCCGAGGGGCCTCTTCTCTCCCCCTGCAAACTGACATAAAGGGTTTGAGAAACGATGGCAAAGCCACACGGGGTCACTCCACTCGTTGAAAGTCCACCCAGCAAGCATGCAAGCACTGGGCAAGCAAAATTATTTTCATCCTCAGAATGGTCCAGTGAGCTGGGTGCTTTCACCCCCATTTCACAGCAGGGGAAACTGAGGGACCTACGTAACTCCTCAGCTGAGAGCATAGACAGAGCTGTGGGCAGAGCCAGGAAGCAAACCCAGCCAGTCCAATTATCTAAAAAATGAGATTTTTCCCTCCATGCCAAGTATGGCCCCATCCTACTGAGTCGGGTCATTATGTCAGGGCTCTCTGCTTTAAACGACGGCGCACAGGGACCTCCCCATGCAGCAGGGAGTACCCCGGAGAGTGAGGGGGGCCTGGATCCAGCCGGGCACCTGTTGGCGTTCCTACACCCCTGCAGTCTGCTCTCAGGTGCTCCTGTGTTGGGAGCAAGGCCTGAGGCGCTCGTGTCAGGATTCCCTGCGGGAGATCGGGTAGCTTCAGCCTGGGCACAGAAGCCTCTGGGTCCAGAAGTGAGCAGATCAAACCCCTGCCCTACTCACGTCACCCACCTGGCGTCTCCTGGCTTTGGGTGGCCCAGCCACATGCCTGCAGGTTGAGTCTTTGAATTTGCAGGGCCAGGGCCAGCTGTGCCATCTGGTCTTTTGGAACTTTTTTTTTTTTTTGCTGTGGCATTAGACAGGCATCCCCTAACCCAGAGAACCCTCACTACCACTGCTCAGAGGTCCCTTTTTATACGTGGTGCCAGTGAATACACCAATTTAGATGCTCTGTGTAGGTAGGAAGCAATCCCCACAGTCTGTGCGATGTCACCTTGTGTGGTGGAAATGCCATTCGCTGTGATGAACCCTTTCCAGTCACTCCACCGTACAGTGCCCCGCCGGGGTCGGATCGGCCCTTCTTCCTGGTCCCATCTCCCGGGATCTGCTGTCCCCTCTTCAGGCCCTTCTTTGTGTGGTTAGCCTGGGGTACCTTTCCCAGTCACTGATCTGACTCCGTCGCTTAACCTGTTAATGGAATAGCATGGACGATGCACCCCACACTGCATCTGGTGTTACTGGGACCCACTGAATGTAGGTTCCTTTACCCCCATTTCACCTGCTGCCAGCAGGATGGCCAGGCCTGCCAGGCACCGCCCAGGTTCCCCATGGCACGGGCCCTGCCTGCTCTTCTGTGAGCTGCCTCTGAGCCCTGGGCACCCTCCATGGCGAGCTCCCCAGGCCAGGAGCATGTCTGTCCTTTTCACCCTGTACCCAGCACTTGGAGCAGTTGCCAGTAAGAACAGGGGTGAGGAGATGAGCAAACCCACATGCTTGTTCTTAAAGCATGGCACCTTCGGCCAGGCACAGTGGCTCACACCTGTAATCCTGGCACTTTGGGAGGCTGAGGCAGGCAGATCACGAGGTCAGGAATTCGAGACCAGCCTGGCCAACATGGTGAAACCCCGTCTCTGCCAAAAATAGAAAAATTAGCTGGGCATGGTGGTGTGTGCCTGTAATCCCAGCTACCTGGGAGGCTGTGGCAGGAGAATTGCTTGAACCCGGGAGGCGGAGGTTGCAGTGAGCTGAGATCGCGCCACTGTACTCCAGCCTGGGTGACAGAGCGAGACTCCACCATGGAAAAAAAAAAGAAAAGCACGGCGCCTTCATGTTCCATGCCTTCACGCTGCTCTCCCTTGACTGGAATCTCCCTTGTGCCCGACAGGACTACCTCCAGTGTCCCCTCCTTGGGGAGCCTCTAACCACCCTGCTGGCATTTGTGGTGACTCCTGAGGCCTCGTATATCCCCTAGCGGCCTGGCAGCTGCGACGGTTTGTCTGCCTGTCACCCCGGGAGCACCTTCAGGACTGTGTCCTTGTCATGTATCCGGATGCCCGGCTCAGCCCATGCCCTGCACAAGTGGGGGTCATGGAGGGAGCCTCTGTTTCCCCACCAAGTACACCAAGAAACTACACTGTGTCTGATGCAAACGCATGTTTTCTGTGCATCTGTGATTTACAATTCCCTGGCTGCCTTCCAAGCAGAACGCACCTGGCAGCCTGGGGGTCTTGTGTTTGCCCCAAACAGAGGAGCCAGCCTCTTGTTTCGAGGGCCTTTTCCGTCCTCGAAGCCAGCAGCTGGAGGGAAGGAGGCTGGCTGTAACATTGGAGGGGCCACAACCCCCGAATTTCTTCTGCAGAAGAGAAGGGGTAGAGGTGGAGAAAGAGGGAGAGGGAGGCAGGGAGGGAGGGGGAAGCCACTGTACAGCCTAGCCTGGAGACATCTTGGGGGAAAGTGATTCATCTGATCTGGGATGGAAGATTATTCTGGGGAGTAAAATGTCCTGCCTTCAACACACACACACACACACACACACACACACACACACACACACTCCTCAGTAAAATACCCAGTTCTCACCAGGCTTTATGCAGTGGCTCTGGGGGCAGGGGCACAATAAAGAGAAGTCCCAGCCAGCTCCCGGGGTGGTGTGGGCTGAGGAAGAGGCTGGGAGGAGAGAGTTGTGGCTGGGAACCCTTTGATAAACAGGAAAGAATATTTTCACTTTGGCACAGGCCTGGCACGGAGGAGCTGTCAGCAAGCAGGCGTCCGAAGATTGAGATCACAGAGGGGTGGCCGAGGCTGGGGCACAGGCTGGATGCAAGGCAGATGCCACATGGAACCCTTAGGTATTGAGTGCCCTGAAACTAGAAACTGAAAAGGCAGTCACATCCTCATCAGAAAGAAATTGATGGTGAGTTAGGAGGCCAGGAGGGAAGCAGCCGTTCCCAGAGCTGAGGGGCATCCCTCGAAGGCGGGAGGGAGAGAAGTGGGAGGCAAAGGCTGGGGATGGCCGGATGGCCCTGGGACCAGCAGAAGGAGCAGGTGGGCTGAAGAATGTGTTGGAGCAGAGACTGTGGTCAGCGGAAGGCATGAGAGGGGCCACCCTCCTGCATGTAGTGAGGCTCGGGAAACGTGGAACGAAAGAAAGATAGAAAAAATAAATGCAGTATAATGGAAGTTCCAAGGAACACTGCAGTTAGGAAGGTGGCTGGCATTCCGGAATTACCTCCCTGACCAGTGCAGTGCCCCACAAAGGTGGCATCCCTCACACATCAGCCCCGTGCCCTGGGTTCCCTCTGGGTGCACCTGCCCAGGAGGTCAGGCTTTCTGCACGTGGCTCCCAGGGGCTCTGCTGAGAAGCCCTTAGACATCGTCTAGTACAGCCCCTGGGCCCTCTCTGGGGTGCAGACAAGCTGGTGAGCTCCAGGTCTCAAACCTGACTGCCCAAGTGCCGGGAGCCCCCCGCCCCCCAGCCTGCTCTGGTAAGCGTCGGGCTTCTGTCCAGATGACACAGCTAAGCAGGGTTTGGAAGAACAAAAAACAAAACCCAAGCCTGCCCACTTCGGACAGGGGCAGGGTGGAGAGCCTCAGTGGGGGATGGGGGACTGGCTAAGTCAGGCAGACTCAAGGGGTATGGCCAGACGGATCCCAGTCTCCTCCCATTCCACGTCCCTACATCATTCTATGGGACCACAGGAAACCAAACTGGCCCTTCTTGAGACAGAGATGGAAGATGCTGTTTCCCACAGTGGACACCAAGCAGTCCTGGCTGTGACTGTGTCTGTGGGACAAGCCGTGTTCCAAGGTTGGTGACTGTCCGTGATCACCAGCTGCCACCATGACCAGTATCCTCTGTTGCCCACACACTCGGGCATTGTTGGCTGGGCTCAGTGTGGTGCCAGTGTGGGCTGATCCACAGGCATGGTAGGGCCGGGACACAAGCCCACGGCTCAGCAAGGCTGGAGGGAGCGCTGCGTGCCGGCCGGTGCAGGGGCTTGTGTCCATTTGATTCTCAAGATGGTCCAGTGATGGAGGTGGCATCCACCTGCATTCTCTCGCATTTTCTAGAGAAAGGAAGTTCATCTCAGAGGGGTCAGTTGGCATCGGTGTCTGGGTTGTGAGAGACAGTGTCGTCCGCACCAGCATCAGGCAGCAGATGGCACGGGTAGGTGCGCGGGCAGCAAATGCTTGGCAGTTTAAGTGGTTTCCTTGCAAAGGACGAGGCTGGGGAGCACGCCACTGAGAGAAAGGCATCGACTCCTGCAAAGCCTGCTTCCGAAGCGAGCAACGTGGACTTGTTTGCACAGAATGGGAAATAGGTCCAAGTGCGGTGAGGAGTACTTTAAAGAAGGGATTTCACAAGCGGTGCTGGCACAGGCCACTGCAGCTTGTTTACTGCCACGGAGATGGAATTTCATACTTTCAAAAGGAACAATCTGGGATCTCTCAATAAAACTTCCAGGGCACAGGCAAGGAAAACAAAAATAGACAAATGGGACTACGTCGAACTTAAAAACTCCTTTGTATCGAAGAACACAACAATGAAATGACAACCTGTGGAATGGGAGAAAGTATCGGCAAATTATCCATCTGATAGGAGAGAACTATCCAGAAGAGATGCAGGACTCCTATGATTCAACAATAAAAATTAGATAGCCTGCATAAAAGTAGGCAAAGGCCTTAAATAGGCATTTCTACAAAGATGATATACAAATGGCCAACAAGCACATGAAAAGATGCTTGACACTACCACCCATCAGAGAAATGCAGATCCAACCAGAAAGAGGTACCAGCTCACACCTATGAGGTTGCCTACTCATGCCTGCAGTCCCAGCATTCTGGGAGGCTGAGGCGGGAGGATTGCTTGAGGCCAAGAGTTTGAGGCCAACCTGGGCAACCTAGTGAGATGCCATCTGTACAAAAATGAAAATAAAAAAGTAGCAGGGTGTGGCGGCCTATGCCTATAATCCTAGCTACTTGAGAGGCTGAGGCAGGAGGATCACTTGAGTCCAGGAGTTTGAGGTTACAGTGAGCTATGCACACCACTGCACTCCAGCCTGAGCAACAGAGTGAGACTGTGTCTCAAAACAAACACAGAAAATAAATGTTGGTGAGGATGTGGAGAAATTGGAATCATTGGGCACTGCTGGTGGGAATGTAAACCAGTGCTATAGAAGACAGTACGGAGGGTCCTCAAAAAATAAAATGCAGAACAAACAAAACGACAAAACGTGGTGTGTACACAGACACACCATACACCCCCCACACACACACCACACCCCATACACACCACACCCCACACACACCACACACCCCACACACACATCACATACCACACACAAACCACACACCCCACACACACATCACATACCACACACAAACCACACACCCCACACACAAGCCACACACCCCACACACACATCACATACCACACACCCCCACACACCCCACACACCCCCACACACCCCACACACCCCACACACACCACACACCCCACACACACACCACACACCCCACACACCCCACACACCCCACACACACATCACATACCACACACAAACCACACACCCTACACACACCACACACCCCACACACACCACACACCCGACACACGCCACACACACACCACACACCCCACGCACACATCACATACCACACACAAACCACACACCCTACATACCCCACACACCCCACACACACCACACACCACACACCACACACACACACCACACACCCCACACACACATCACATACCACACACAAACCACACCCCCCCACACACACAGCACACACCACACACAAACCACGCACCCCATGCACACACCACACACCACATCCCACACACTCCCCACACACATCACATACCACACACAAGCCACACAACCCCCCAGACACCACACCCCACACACACAGTACACACTACACACAAACCACACACCCCATGCACACACCACACACCCCACACACACCACACCCCCACACGCCACACACACACCTTACCCCACACACACCACACACACACCACATACACACCACATCCCTCCCACACACCACACACACACCACACCCCACACATACCCCCCAAACCCCACACCCCACACACACCACATCCTCCCACACACCACACACACACCCCACTCTGACACACACCACACACACAGCACACCCCACTCACACACATCACACCCACCACACACCCCACACACAAACACCCCCCCCACACACACCATCACCCCCCCCAACACACACACACACACACACCACACCCCATACACACCACACCCCACACACACCACACACCCCACACACACACCACACACCCCACACACACATCACATACCACACACAAACCACACCCCCCCACACACACAGCACACACCACACACAAACCACGCACCCCATGCACACACCACACACCACATCCCACACACTCCCCACACACATCACATACCACACACAAGCCACACAACCCCCCACACACCACACCCCACACACACAGTACACACTACACACAAACCACACACCCCATGCACACACCACACACCCCACACACACCACAACCCCACACGCCACACACACACCTTACCCCACACACACCACACACACACCACATCCCTCCCACACACACCACACACACACCACACCCCACACATACCCCCCAAACCCCACACCCCACACACACCACATCCTCCCACACACCACACACACACCCCACTCTGACACACACCACACACACAGCACACCCCACTCACACACATCACACCCACCACACACCCCACACACAAACACCCCCCCCACACACACCATCACCCCCCCCCAACACACACACACACACGATGGAATGTCATTCTGCCTTTAAAAAGGAAGGTTGTCTCGATAGGGACCATAGCATGGATGAACCCTGAGGACACGGTGCTGAGTGAACTAAGCTGGTCACAGACAAACACTCTATGACTCCACTTACACGGGGAACCTCGTGCAGCCGGATTCATAGAGACGGAAGGCAGAACGATGGCTGCCGGGGGCCGAGGGGAGGAGTGGGAAGTGCGTGTTTAGTGGGGACAGAGTCTCAGTCTGAGAGGAGAAAAAGAGTTCTGGAGATGATGGTGGTTAAGGTCACACAGCAGCGTGAATGTCCTTAATGCCACAGAACTCTACGCTTCAAAACGTTAAGACGGTCAATTTTATGTCGTGTATTTTACCAGGATTAAATTATTTCCGGGGATGTTTCTGCCATATTAACCGGAAGGCAGGTGACTCCTGGGCTGGGGGGGTCCCACAGTGGGTCCTGCCTGCCCCCATGCTCTCTATCCCACTAGCAGTCCCTGGCCAAGAGTCCCGGGCCACTTTATGCCCTCAGACTTGTTGCTCATTTAACCTTAGTCCAAGTGGGTGGTGTTCCAGGGTGAGATTTGGGCTGGACACTGGGCTGAGCTATGTAGGCCAGGATGAGGGCCATGCCAGTGTAGGGGGATTGCAAGGCCAGAGGAGTGGTCTCAGGTGCACCACCCTGTGCACATCAGGGCTTCCAGCACGTTCTACTTGGAAGTGATGCTTACAGATTCTCAAGAAGGTTGAATCCAAACCCTTGTAAAAATTGGGTCCTGTTGAGTGTCTTTTTGTTTGTCTGCATTTAGATCTAGTAACATTTTGGCCAACGCTGTGCAGGGAAGGGCGATGCTCTTTCTTTTCCAAGAATTGGGGTTAATAGTCCATGAATTTGATACAAATATGAGTCTTCAAGGTCATTCTGATGAAAGCTTTCAGGCATTTTTGAAGCTGTGAGTTATTAAATACGTAGCATCTACCCATGGGGGGAAGTAGGGCACAGGCCTAGCCACGGAGCAGGTACAGTTGCCACTAAACCCCTGGCACCAGGACGATTTACTGGACAGGTGACCAGTGTTGTTCCCATTCTGCAGATGGAAAGTCTGGAGGTCACGGGCATACGGCCCAGAGGCACACGCTCCGCAGATGGTTTTGCGTAGCTGGTATCATGTGGGGCAGCTGCAGGGTCCTTCGTGTTGCCCTCACATTTACTGAGTCCTGGCTGTTTGCAGTCCTTCTGCTGGGTGCTGGAGACATAAGAATGACTAGAATCTGTCTCTCCTGTGGAGGACTCACCATTCACATCCAGCCAAGGAGACAATGGAGGACTCACCATCCACATCCAGCCAAGGAGACAAATCTACTGACAGCCATTCATAACACTGCATGTAGCTGTTGTACAACAATGGTTAGCAAACAAAGAAGACAAGGATGCCTCCTCCTGGACACAGTAGGGAGGCCAGACCAAGGGGTGGCACTTTGGTGGATCTGTCGTTCAATCAACAAATACTTGTTGAGAGCCTCCCACGTGCTGGGCTCCACATTAGAGACCGGGATGTGGCGGGGAAGAAGTCAAGGCAGTTCCTGTCACCATGAAGCTTGCCATGGGAGGGGAGGGGAGGGCAGGCAGGAAACACACAAGACAGCAGATGTGGGCTTGCTGACCATGGGTGCTGAGAAGGAAGCAAGAGGATGGGGAAGGACATCTGAAGAAATGACGCTTGAGCAGAGAATGAATGGAGTGAGGGGTCCTGCCCAGGTTGAGGATTAGGTGCGCAGAGCCTGGCGTATGCTCTGGGGGTTGGGAGTGGGCAGGGGGATGGCTTCAGAGTAGAAGGGAGCTGCAGAGATGTGCACGCATGAGCGCACACAAGAGCTACGGGGTCCTGCTGAGTGAGATGTTCTCAGGAAGGTGCACACCGTGCACAAGGAATACACAACGGGCAGGTGGGTCCGAGCGCTCCTCCCTGTGCCCAATGCACGGTGCCAGGGGAGGACAGAAGCAAAGTTGGGCTGAGAGTCAGAAGCAAATCTGGGCCGAGAGTCACGCTGGTCTTGGAAAGGCTTGATGAGTGGGCCTGAGGGTACGTTCCGGAACATCTCGATACCAGAAACAAAATAATAAAAAGCCTTTGTTTGTGTCTTGCTCAAGAGAAGCTGGAGGCCTGTGATTCTTCTCCTTTACCGTCCCTGCCTCCAAATCCAGACTGGAAATGGGAACGTCATTGTGCATCAGCTCGAAACTGGGTTGGTGGCCTGCTCTAAACTTGCTGATCCATGTTCCATCAAGGAAAAAACTCACTTGCGGCTCTGTACCTCTCTGAGATGGGGTTCATGCGTTAGAGGAGTTAGCAGCCTGTTTGGAAGACAAGGGGCCTGAGCTGCATCCCAGGCAGGATGTTGATGGAGGGGATGGCGATTGTCTGTCAATGATGAGGGATGGGATCCCATGTGCAAAGAGGACCACACTCTCCTGAGAATTTGGGGACCAGGGCTGGTGACTCAGGGAAGTGCAGCTACCACTGTTCAAGGGAAACACAACTTGGGAACACGGCTACCCAGATGCTTTTATTCAATCCTCATCCTTTACGGAATCCAGGACATGAAAACCTAATTTGTTTAAAAACTCAACTTTCCTGCTGTGGGCATCTTAATTTCACGTGCAGTATTTCTCTTTAGTTCCATGTTATCGTGTCTTAAAATGTCCAATTTAGTTACTTAAGGCTCTTCTTTTGCAAAAGAATAGAAAGAAAAATGTTAAGGATGCAGGCCCAGGAGACGTTGTGTTATCCCAGGACTTCCACAATAAAAAAGCGAGCTTTCGAAATGATGTGTATCCTGGTTGGACGACTCTCTCCCTGGTGAATGCCGGTCTGCACCAGCCCCACCTCCTGGCCACTAAAAATCTTTAATATTACATAGTACATACATTCGTTCACCAGACATAGCACGTTGAAAAGGCCTGGAGGAGTTTCTCTAAAGATGCAAATCTTGGTACTTTGCTTGTTTCTTGGAGAATCTACAGGGGCTCTCTGCCTTGGATGCTTACCCAGGATTCAGGTAGAAGAGTTGCCTGCCCTGGGCTCCCCACAGCACTTGGGTGTGCACCTGTGATTCAGGTAGGAGAGGGGCCTGGGCTCCCCAGGGTACTTGATTTGTCCTTCAGGTGCAAGTGAGTTCTCGGGTGAGGTTCTATGTTTTGGTGCCTCCCTCTCTGCCACACGGCCCCTTCTTTGTGGAACATGTGTCCTCTTCCAGGCTCTGTTGATGACTTCATATAGAGTGCACAAAGGAACAAAAACAATGAAGTTGACCAAGGAGGAAGCTGGCTGGAGGGTTTGGAAGGACAGCAGAGCAGGCACAGCTGGAAGGATTTATTTTTCTCTTGCTACCAGAAGACTCAGGACACAATGCAGAAAATACGAAATACATTCATTCATTAGCTTTCCCATCTCTTAAATGGTTTGACCCAACTGGGCAAGCCCTGGCTGAAGAGATTGGACATCTGGAGTCCATCACTGTCTGAGGCCATGGTGGACCCAGCTCTTTTCTTTTCTCTGGGGTGAGATATAGTGGACACTCAGCCCTTTAAGGAGCCCTGACCACAGATGAGACAGAAGGTGCAGCTGTGGGTCTTCTCCAAGAAGAAGACGGCCTCTTCCAAGACTCCTCCAACAGCACCACCCACTGGGTCAGACTTGTCACTGAGCTTCCAGCAGCTTTCTCTCTAGCGGAAAATGGATTCAACCAAAAGATCAAAGATGAGGAAATTTAGAAGTCCATGTGATGCTGGCCAAGCATCCCAGTAAAGGGTATATCCTCTGTGGCTTTGTTTTTCACGTTACTGGCATTGGTTTGCTTTGTTGGGAAGCTATGCAGAGTTGCACATCACCTTGTAACAGAGGTTGGCTTCCAGTGGGCTGGACGTTTACAAACAGATGGGAGCCAAGAAAGTGCCGTGAACTTCAGCTCCCTGACCGGGGTCACGGGAATGCCATAAATCAGGCCAGACAAATTCCCATGATGTCAGTCACTCAGCCGAGTTTCTGGGGGTCATGAGTCTCTTCGCATTTCTCCCCTGTCCCCAAGTTCCAAAAAAACAAATAAATAGATGGAAAGGTTACCTCACAGATCCTTGGCAAAGACCCCTGGAATAGCACAGCTCTGTCCCGAGTGAAAGTTTACTTCAGAAGATTCTGATGCAATAGAGAAAAAATAAATCGGGTGAGGGAGCCTGTGGCTTGTGGGGCTCTGCTATCCAGCAGGGCTGGAGCAGGTGCCAGGGTGCAGGGAGGGTGGGGGACCCCGAGGCCCTGGCCAGGGTTCACATCGTCATCCCACTAGCTGTGGACGTGGGGGACCCTGGCAGAAAGGAAATCTGTCTCAGTGAGCTGTGCTTGTCAGAAATCCTCCCAGTGCACCGGTCACTGCCCCGTTGGGTGGGTGTGGGTGGAGGGCGGATGGCCACACAGCCGCTTGGGAAGTTCAGGAACGGCTGAACCTCACTAGAGTGAAATCAAGTCAGGCACCCAGGCAGCCTCTGCAGAGGGCACTAGGGGACTCTCAGCAGCTCAGAACTGTCCTTACTCCTAAGGAGTTTGAAATTAGGAAGAATAAAACTTAGGGGAAAAAATGACTACAAAGTGTCTCCTGAACTGGCCCTACAAGAGACTGCAGGCTCCAAGTGCTCCCTGTCTGGGTAAACACCTTCTGCTTTCTAGGACTGTCCACTCAGTTATTAAGCCCACTGCTGTGTCAGGCCGAAGGTGCAGTGATGGCAGAGACAAAGTCCCGCCTTCGGGGACAGTCCCCAACACAGCAGCAGCTAGATTAGAAAAAATAAAGATGAGAAAGCCTCTCAGAGCATCTGTCATGGTATCTACCAAAACCTGTCAGGGATAGGAGAAACTCTCTCTCAGTAGGAGCTTAGATTAAATTCTAGATAAAATATAAGAAACGTACACTCAGCAATATGCCAAAAGAATAGGGCGCTGTGAAGAAGGTGGATTTATTAGTGGAATATCAGGGCATTCAGATGCCTTTGCCAGGTTTTTGACACACTTTGGCAATATGTGTCAAAAGCATTCAGATTGCTCAGATTCTTGGATTCATGTATGCAATGAGGCACATCTATAGTCAAAAAAGGGAATAAAGGGAATCGACTCGAGATACTAAAATGCATCTGAGAAAAATTTAACATATTTCTGTTATTAAAACCTCCCTGTCTGATGTTTAAAATCTCAATAAGCTATCATAAAGAGATTCTTCCTTACCTTCAGCGGATCACCTGAGGTCAGGAGTTTGAGACTAGCCTGGCCAACATGCTGAGACCCCCGTCTCTACTAAAAATACAAAAAATTAGCTGGGCGTGGTGGCGCTTACCTGTGGTCCCAGCTACTCAGGAGGCTGACGCAGGAGAATTGCTTGAGCCCAGGAGGTGGAGGTTGCAGTGAGCTGAGATCGTGCCACTGCGCTCCAGCCTGGGAGACAGAGCAAGATTCCATCTCAAAACAGCAACAACAAAATCCTAGGTAGCACTCAAGTCTTTTGTATAAAAGTCAGCAGGTTTCTCGCCAGTATACTGTTTTGTAACATTGTCTCAAACTTTAAAGAATGATTCTATATGGATTATGAAAAAGAAATAGACATAGGGCTATTGGCAAGCAGAAGATAAAAGTATTAACATTTGTAGATGATACAGTTGTCTACTAAGAACCTTGCTGTCTACCCCATATCAAAAAAAGAAATCATTTGAAAATCTTTAGAACAAATGAAACAATTTAGACTGAAGGCAATTGCTAAGTGAAGATAATTTTTCACAAGCATTCTTACACACACCAGCAATAAGCAATTCAATCACATAATGAAACAAAAAGATGTCATTCACACAAACAAAAATATTTATGCTTATGAGATCCTTATATATGTTTAGTGAGAAATATGGAGGACTTTTATGAAGAAAAATCTCTTAGCTAGAGAGTCCAATAGAATATTTTTTGAATGAGGAGCTCTATTTATTAGGACTCTGTTTGGAAATACATACTACTGTGAACATATCATTTCTTTTACAATTTAATTTATATATTTAATGAAATGTTTAATTCAATAAAATTATTTTCAGGTGCACCTGGAAGACTAAGAGAGCAAACACGTCCAAGAAACTTATGAAAAAGAAAAGTGAGGAGAGAGGTTTTGTGCTGCCAGGGACTGTAATCCAGAACTTTAATATTCAAATTACTGGGTGCACTGGGGGCCAGGCAGAAAACGCAATGAAATGGAACTGTGGAGAGCTCAGGAACAACCCTGATGTTTGTCCTATTCAGGTACAGGGTAAAGGAGACAATGGCCATGAAGACGGTGGATTATGCGGAGCATAATTCCAAAAAGGAATGACCTGGAGGCTGGTTTTGTGCAGGTCTACCCAAGAACAGCCCAGGATGTCGTTAAAGGCTGATGTTCTCTGTTAGTTGGTAAACAGCTCTCATGGTGCCCTCTCCCCCACTGTACCCCTCCCTGTCCACGCACCAGCAATTCAATAGTTAACCCCTGGATCCCTGTGCCACCAGTGGGGGCCCAGGACATCAGCCACCCCAAAGCTCACTTATCTGGGTCTGGCTTGCAGGCAGCCCACTCTTGCCTTTTACAGTTATTGTTACACTTTACTTTTTCCTACAATTTTCTAATCTAGAGTGAAATGGCCACCAGAGAGTATAAACGCCAGAGTGTGATGAGAAAAAGAGGATGTCGGCTCCTCATCCTAGTGCAGCATGGCCTCCAGAGCTTATTAAGGCCATGGGAATCTGCAGACCCATTCGGCATCCCAGGTCCTGGTGATTGTCAGAGGCCAGCCTGTGGGGACAAGGGTCACCTCTCGCCACTTGCTGTAGGGCTCTGGCATGGTGTAGGTAGCAGCCCCTGTTGATCTTTTTCTGCAGTGAAGTTGTGCTCCTCATGTTAACCTGGAGTTTATTCCTCCAGGAGGTAACGCAGAACACAAACCTTTCTCTGAGAACAATAGCAATGCACAGATTTAATTCTGAAACACAGGCGCTAATAACTGTCTGTGACCATGGGGACAAATTGAGTGGAGAGGAGAGGAGGCTGTCCCAGCAGTGGGGGGTCCGTGCTTTCAGCTGGAAACTCAGTGTGTTCTCTCTTTATAGTCCTCCACCTTCAGGAGCTGACTTTCCTCTAATGTTTCTTTAAATGTTAATGTTGGAGCCTGCAGTAAGAACTCAGATAATTAAACATACCAATGAGGGCATGTAATTGTGCAGAAGGGCTCAAACACCCAAGGATGAAAAGTGAGACCATAGTTTAAAAAAATTCTAATTGTATAATACCATGTCGCATGTATGCTTTATACAGAGAAGAATCCAGCGAGCACAAAAGGCAAGCTGACTGAGGTTGTCTCGGCCGTCCTGGGCGGACACACAGCCTTCCTGGCTCTGTCCCCTCTGAGACTGTGAGCCCCTCCTGGTGGGGCTCTGACCTTGCCTTACCTAGACCCATGTGTCTTAGAGAGGCTTGGAGTCAGTACCTTCTTGATGAGACCAATAATCAGGGCTCTGCTGGGCTGAGTGGGGGTGGGGGTAGAACATCAGAAGTGGATGACCTCTTGAAAAGGTGACAGTCCCTCCCTGTCAGCCCACGACTGTTCTGGTTTCCTCTGGTTCTCCAGTCGTGATTATTAATAGTGCCCCTTTCACTCCCAAAGCTTCTCATTCTACATGTTGGGTCATGTGGTCATCCTGTCCAGCAAATGCACACCTCCCTCCAGCCGGGACTACCTGGCCACTAGGCCACACTCACCACTCCTTAGGGTCACTTGTGGAGTTTCCTAAAATGCCCCTTCCTTGCTCTGCCCCACTACCCATCCCCTATTCTGACATGCCCAGCTAGGAAGGCATGCGCTGCAAATCACTTGCCCAGAAACCAGGGATCTAGTGTCAAGTTAGTGGTTAGCAGGATCCCCTGGCCATCCTGCACCAGCTGGGTCAAGCACCAGCTGTTGAGTTGTGGACATGGACAGCCCTGCCAGACCTTGCCCCACACAGGCAGTACCTGTGGGAAGTTCCCTGGACCTGCAGAAGGGCATGATTGGCTGTCCTGGTGTGGTGTGGTCAGGGAGGGCTTCCTAGAGGAGGCAGCACTGACCAGCACTCAGAGGTGCAGAGAGCATTCTGCACAGAGGGAGAGGCAGAGATAGTTTATGTGGAGGATCTGCTAAGACTGCCAGCTGGGGCATGGTTCAAAACCCAGGAGGAATGAATTCCCTATGGAGAGTGCTTGCCCTGCAGGCAGAGAGGGACCTTCACGGGGCTCTGGGCTGCCAACATTGTAGGGCGTTATTTAGTGTGAGTGTTAGTGTTAGTATTAGTGTTGGTGTTAGTTTTGATATTAGTGTTAGTATTTATTTATACTCGTGCTAGCGTTAGTATTAGTGTGTTAGTGTTAGTGTTAGTATTTATTGGTATTGGTGTTAGTGTTAGTATTTATTGGTATTGGTGTTACTGTTAGTATTAGTATTAGTGTTAGTATTTATTAGTATTAGTGTTAGTATTTATTGGTATTAGTGTTAGTACTAGTATTTATTAGTGTTAGTGTTATTGTTAGTGTTAGTGTTGGTATTTATTATTATTAGTGTTAGTGTCAGTATTAGTGTTAGTATTTATTTGTGTTAGCATTAGTATTAATGTTAGTGTTAGTATTTATTAGTGTTAGTGTTGGTAATATTTATTAGCATTAGTGTTAGTGTTAGTATTTATTAGTATTAGTTACTATTTATTAGTGTCAGTGTTAGTGTTAGTGTCAGCATTAGTATTAGTGTGTTAGTATTGGTATTAGTGTTAGTGTTAGTATTTATTAGTATTAGTATTACTGTTAGTATTAGTATTAGTGTTATGTTAGTATTAGTGTTAGTATTTATTAGTATTAGTGTTACTGTTAGTCTTAGTGTTAGTGTCAGTATTAGTATTAGTGTTAGTGTCAGTATTAGTGTATTTATTAGTGTTAGCATTAGTATTAATGTTAGTATCTATTAGTATTAGTGTTAGTGTTGGTGTTAATATTAGCATTAGTGTCAGTGTTAGTATTAGTGTTAGTGTTAGTATTTATTAGTATTAGTGTTAGTATTTATTGGTATTAGTGTTAGTACTAGTATTTATTAGTGTTAGTGTTATTGTTAGTGTTAGTGTTGGTATTTATTATTATTAGTGTTAGTGTCAGTATTAGTGTTAGTATTTATTTGTGTTAGCATTAGTATTAATGTTAGTGTTAGTATTTATTAGTGTTAGTGTTGGTAATATTTATTAGCATTAGTGTTAGTGTTAGTATTTATTAGTATTAGTTACTATTTATTAGTGTCAGTGTTAGTGTTAGTGTCAGCATTAGTATTAGTGTGTTAGTATTGGTATTAGTGTTAGTGTTAGTATTTATTAGTATTAGTATTACTGTTAGTATTAGTATTAGTGTTATGTTAGTATTAGTGTTAGTATTTATTAGTATTAGTGTTACTGTTAGTCTTAGTGTTAGTGTCAGTATTAGTATTAGTGTTAGTGTCAGTATTAGTGTATTTATTAGTGTTAGCATTAGTATTAATGTTAGTATCTATTAGTATTAGTGTTAGTGTTGGTGTTAATATTAGCATTAGTGTCAGTGTTAGTATTAGTGTTAGTGTTAGTATTTATTAGTATTAGTTACTATTTATTAGTGTCAGTGTCAGTGTTAGTGTTAGTATTAGTGTCGGTATTTATTAGTATTAGTGTTAGTGTGAGTATTAGTGTTAGTATCTATTAGTGTGTTAGTATTAATGTTGGTGTTAGTATTTGTTAGTATTAGTGTTGGTGTTAGTATTTATTAGTATTAGCGTTAGAATTTATTAGTATTAGTGTCAGTGTTAGTATTTATTAGCATTAGTTAGTATTTATTAGCATTAGTGTTAGTATTAGTGCCAGCATTAGTTCTGGCTGGGCTGGGCTGGTGTCCTGGGTCTGAGCTGTCTGCATCCCCATCTCGGCCCCTCTTGAGCGTCTCTCACATCTGCAGTCCTGCACAGCCCAAGTCCCAGCAGGAATGCTGCATCTATAAATCCCTACATAAGGAAATGTTATCCGGAGGAGCCACTTGGCCTTTAGATGGGAACACTGGACATGACGAGGGCTTGAGGGAGGAGAAGGTGCCACCTGCTGTGTGCCTGGGTTTTCCATCCATGAGAGCCCGTGGGCATCACAGCCACTCTGTGAAGGGACTGCCTGGTTTTTCTCTTCCTGTCTCTCTCTCCATCTGTCTCTCTTCCTCTGTCTGACTGTGTCTCTCTGTGTGTCTGTCTCTGTGTCCCTGTCTGTCTGCCTGACTCTGTTTCTGTCTCTCTCTCTCTGTCTGTGTCTCTGTGTCTCTCTTATGGTCTTATTTAGGGGCACATGGCAAGTCAGATTTAACCCTGGGCCTCTGGCTCCCAGGTCCCTGTTCATACACCAAGCCCCACTTGCCTTCTTTTCCCTGGGGGGCTCTTTTCCCTCCTCTCCCAGCAGCAGCCCAGGTCTCCTGAGCCTGAGGGTCTGCTGTCTGCACAGTGCACTGTCCTGTGCTTCCCGAGAGCGTGGGAGTCCCTGGCCTCTTTCCAGCCCATCCAGTGCCTACCTGTGTTAACTGGACCCAAAACCTCTGAGACCATTCAATAGGGTGGTGGCTGGAAAACAGATCAGTACTTTTTTCCACTTTTAGACTGCAGCCTGGACAGAAATGCAAACGCCTTGTGTCCTGTGCTGTGCCAGGGTGCCCTGCCTTACAAAACAGACAGCTCTGGAGAAGCATGTGTAAATTTAATTTGGGGTAACATTGACTCATGTTAGGATCATTTGAGCCTCTTCACCTTGACTCCGATTGGCCTCCAAGGCAGCACCGACTCACACTCCAGCTTAGCTTGCCTTGGTGCCCTGCCTTCCAGACCAGGAGTTAATGATCTGTAAAAACACTTAAATTCATGGGGAAAACTCCTTCTTGAAAGGAGCAAATGCGTTTGTAACTTACATATTCCTTTTGTCCCATGATGAGGGAACTTCCTGGGAGCCTGTCTGCTTGGAGTCCTGGGAAGTGATATCTTGATTTTAAAAGTCCTCCATGATCAAAGCTTCTTTCAACAAAGTCAAAGGATGCTTTCTGGGTTGCTCTGCTGGAAGCTGGGGCAGTCAGAGCTGAGGGGCAGATGACCGTGGTCCAGGTGTGCCCCCTGGATGGATGTAGGTCAGGGAGGTGTGGTCCAGGGTGCAGATGTCTGAGCCCTTCCTGATTTGAGGGCAGCTCTTGACATCATTCCCTCCAGTTTGGGGGTGAGATGGACATGAATGTTTCTTCTGTGATTCCTTCTCCTCCAGGTTCTGTTTTTCTGTGAATTCTTCTAGAAACCCGAGCAGGGCCTTTGCGTTTCTGAACCTCCATTTTCTGCTTTTTTATTTACTTGGGTAGTGCTCGAAGTTCCTTGGAGGACAGCCGCGGTGTTTATGTGACTCTTGTTTTATTACCAGGATTGGGCTGGTGACGGTTCCTCCCCCCAGGCAGTCACCCCTCGTGGACTGTTTATCCTCGTGGAGACATGCAGGATCCACGAACACCGTGGGAGCCAGCCAGGGCCCCACAGGGCTGCAGATGGGCTCCGTTCACCACATTGCTCATTTTAAAAATTCTCTGCTGATTTAAAATCCACTCAGCTTGCTGCTGTAGCTGGTCGTCTCTGAGGAGCTGAGCTGGCTCGCTTGACATTAAACAGGAAAAATAAGGGAAGAAAAAAACAGAAAGTGAGGGGAGAAGGGACGGGAGATGCCAGAGCTGCAGAGCGAGGCGGAGATGGCCCAAGCCCAGCCTTATCACTCCCTATCCTTTAACTCCAATAGAAGGAGAAGGATGGGGATTTTGAAGACAGATCAGGGAAAACATTTAGCATTTGAGCAGAAGAATTTTCTAGAAGCCTGGCCAGGAAGGGGCTCCGAGCACACGGAGGGAGTTGAGTAAGAAGAATTCCCAGCTCCAAGGATCCTGAGAGGACCCTGGGGAAGACCATGTTGATTCCATGCCTTGCGGAGAGGGAGGCGGTTTTCAGGAATGAAAAGCTGACAGGGTTATGTTGTTGCTGGTTTCCCAGCTGTAAGATGCACATAACTGTGGCTTTTCTCTCCTCCTGCATCTGCAAGGCTTCAGTAATTCATGGCCGATCAGAGTCGCTGGGTGAAGCCGGAGTCGTGAGCCGCGCTGTGGTTTCCGTCCTTCCTTCTCCTCTGCATTAAATGTGATTGGCCTTTCCCCTGGGGTTAATCTGAATTCCCCTAGGGTTAATCCAAATTCCCCTAGGGTTAATCCGAATTCTTCCAGCCTTCCTCCCTTCGGAAATCTGTCCTCAAAGTTCAGCCCCTCCACAGAAGGCACCCCGAGTGCCTACTCAGCTGAACATCTTCTGGGAAACAATGGGGCCGGCACTTACAAGCCAGTTCTTTAAGATGGGGTCGTTGGCTGCCAGTTGTGCCTGGGCTGAAGTGCCAGTGGGCTGCCAAGTCTGCCCCAGGGATCCCAAGGCTCCTGGGCCTGGGATTGCAAGACTCTGAGTCAGGGCTCTCCACCTTCACCTGGAGAAGTGAGGTCCCAGTGAGGCCAAGACCAGGCCAAGGTCCCCAGACAGCAAGTGGCACAGGTGAGGCCGGAGGGCCGCTTCCCATGCGAGTGGCTTCATGCCATGGGCATGTTCTGAATCTAGGGCTCTTCTCCGTGTAGGGCTTCTTCCCCTCCCCTGCCTGGCCATGCCATAGAAGTACAGGTTTAAGCCCCAGAACAAGATTCTAGGCATGGTCTGATTCACGGGCACGTTCAAGGGTGTGGTTGCCACCCGCAGGCCACCGGACTGGGCTGGCGAGGTGAGAACGGCACCTTCACACCTGCCAGGGGGCTGGGGCAGGCAGCAGAGGCGAGGCCCATGGAACATAGCTCTATCATGGAGAAGGGCTCAGATGAAGGGTCCGGCTGCTGCTGTCCCACGGTCCAGCAGACCTAGCCCCCAGTGCTGGCAAAATGTACCTCGCAGGCCTCCCGCAGGTCAGGAGCACAGGGAGCCTTCCGGAAGCATGGCCGGAAAGTGCCTGCTCCCTGGGGCCGGCTCACTGCTGCCAGAGGAAGATTCCAGGGCTGAGCTGCGCACACCCAGTTGACTCTTCCCAAACCCACCAGTCTGCAGGTCACTCCAGCTCCCCTGAGTGGTGTGGGTAAGGGGCAGAGCAGGCCAGGGGCATCAGTGGAGCGTCCCCCCATGGAAGAGAATGTCCACACGCTCGTGGAGACACGTTTCTCCTGAGAAGCCTGGAGCGGGTGGGGGTCAGCCCTGGTCCGTTAGGAGCTTCTGCACCTTCTCATGCCTCTCAGCCCTCAGTGCCCTCCCAGATTGTGCAGATGCAGGGAGGCTGCACCACTGTGAGCATGAGGTGCCCCCTCCCTCTCAGCGTCCCCATGGCCGGGTCTTCTGAGTGGAACCCTGATTCCCGCCCTGCCTCGTTTGCAGGCTGGAGGGCCTGGCTCCCCTGGATGGTGGTCAGTCTTCCCTCTCTCCTCCTTCAGTGCCACACAGTACCTGGCCAAAGCCGTCATGCTGCCCGACTCAGCTTGCTTTATTTAGTCCAGGCAAAGTGGTGGAAAATGAAAAAACTGGCCTTTTGTGGCTTTACAGTGCACATTTGACCAAGGGAAGAATCAGCCCAGAAATGTACACTGATGAGTCTGCTATTTCTTGCTAGCTATCTACTGTCCTTGACGTCTACTGCGTCAGCCATAGCACACAGAAGATGTCTGGTCCTAGACACTGCACCGTACCAGTGTCTTGTGGGTGTTTGGTGCCTGTGAGCAGAGCAGGAGAGATTCCAGGTGCCATTGAGAGTGATGGTACAAATTCACCATCAGGAGCCCCAAGAGTCCTGCAAGCCACATTATAAATGCTTTGGCTAGCCCTGGGGAGATGAAGGGAGTATGACTGGGAGGCTTATCAGGATCACATCTTAAAGAGAACCAATGGGTTTTATACATTTTAAAGTATATTTGTAATCTCAGTTTTAAAATCACATTACTGGTTAGGCGTGGTGGCTCACACCTGTAATCCTAGCACTTTGAGATGTTTGGGGCCTGGAGCTCACCAGCTCCAGTCTGCACCCCCAGAGAAGGCCCAGAGGCTGTACTGAGGCCTAGACAACATGGTGAAAACCTATCTCTACTAAAAATACAAAAATTATCTGGGCATGGTGGCAGACGCCTGTAATCCCAGCTACTCAGGAGACTAAGGCAGGAGAATCTCTTGACCCTGGGAGGCGGAGGTTGCAGTGAGCCGAGATTGCGCCATTGCACTCCAGCCTGGGTGACAGAGTGAGACTCCATCTCAAAAAAAAAAAAAAAAAATCACATTACTGATGATTTTCTCACTAAGATATAAAATGCACCGTGAACTTTGTTCCACAAACAACAGAACAGCTCCCACGATGACTGCCTGACCCTCTACTGGGCTCTGAGTCCCAGGCTGCAGGGAAAGGACATTATCTTCTGAAGCACCAAAAACCCCAGGGCAGAGCTCTTCTTAGTGTTAATTATGTTTTCTACTCAGTTCAGATACCCACAACTGAGGGTAGACTGTTTGGGGAAAAAGTGGTTTCTTTCTGCATCCTTTTGTTTTGCTAAAAGTTTCATTTATGAAACTTCTCTGGTCCCTCGTACACAGTATGAGGGAGAATTCGAATTTCCTCTCAGAAGATGCCGTAAGGGTTGTTAGTGCCTTAAAGATGAGCCCATGTGTACGTGGTATTCCCTCCCCCAACGCAAGCTCACCTCACCCCAAATCTAAGGAAGTACACTTCTGGGCTATTGTCTGGAGCCCCGGGGGCATGGGAGGTTTGAGGCTCCAGTGCTTATCTCGGTGAGTGATTCTGGGAGCCACCTACCGGTTGAGTGGAGCGAAGGGTGGAGACAGAGGGCAGGTGGGGGTGCAACGTTGGAAGGGCCATGTGTTTGGGCAGTGGGGGCTCTGTTCTCACCACAGATTTCCAGTAACAAGAGACTCTTCCCACCAGAGGAGATTCTGAATGATGCTGCCATTGCCAGACCTTCTGCTACCAAACAGAGCGAAGAGGAAGAGGGGGCAGTGTTTGGTCAAGACAGCCCACGAAACGTTGGCGGGAGTGAGCACATTAGCAATGGCTAAGAACATGCTTGAATCATTTGTAACAACCCAGGACAGAGATGCCACAAGAGGACTTTGGGGAAAGGCGAATCCACTCATACATCTTGGAGTTGTTTTTTCAAGTTCAGAAAATGAACCTTCACCAAGGTCTTGGAACATGAAGCAGAGACTCTGGTGCTGACTCTATCATTTGAGCTCCTAAGGGTACTCATGCCCAGTGGAGCATGCACACCAGCAACACTGCCAACACCATCTCGGTGTCCCACCCCTTAGAGGAGGAAGAGGACACAGAGGGGCGCCCGGTAATAACCCTCATTTCCTCTCTTCCACCCCACCACATCATCTTAATAAAACATGAAGGTAACTGAATGAGTACGACTCCCTCATTATCAATTTAATCCTGTGTCTCTGTTGATGTAGGTCAGTTAAGCTTTTTCATGGGCTCATTCAGTATCTCGCTCTCTCTGTCTCTTTCCCCATGAGACTTACACTCTTCCGGCCAGATTCTGGTGCCCTGGGCATGTTTAGGAATCAAATCCTGGCATTTGGCTGAAATTAATGCAATTAAATTATCAGTTTCTCAAATGCCATCTACAAATTACTTTTTTGTTTGTTTTAGACAATCCTTTGTTTTAAAACCCTTGCTTTGGCACTGGAGGCAGACTTGGTGGTCCTCTGGAAAGTCGACTCTCTCCCTTCACACTCCTCAGAGCCCCTGTGGTTAGGCAGGGCCATAGGACTAGTTCCAGCCAATGAGATTTGGGAGGAAGCCTCGGTGCAGCTTCCAGGCTAAAGTTCAGAAGAAGCTGTGTGCAGGACGTCAGGTCTCTTCTGCTGCCCCAAGTGCCTGAAGAGGCCACAGGTTCTCAAGACTGTGGAGGCTCTACCAGCCTGAGTCCCTTCGTGACTGCGTGGAGCAGAGTCCCTGCCAACCTGAATGAGCAAGAAGCAAACGACTGCTGCATGAACCTCCTGAGATTCAGGGGCTTCTTTGTTGCAGCGTGAAGCCTAACTTGTTCTGCCTGACACAGCACTGACATGAGCAGGAAAACCATCTCATAACCCACGGCCGCCTCTCGTGTTGTCCTGAAAGCCTTATGCAGGCAGACTTTGCATGTGAAACGGGTGGGCCATTTAAAATTCATGTGAGAGGAGCTCAGTTCCGAAAGACACTTTTCACTCAAGTTTTTTACAAATCACAAAATGTTCCCAAGGTGTAACCATAGCTTCATTTGTTATTTACTAAATGTGGCTCTGTATGCCAGATTTCTTTAAAGTAACTCAAATGTTAGGATGTTGAGAGATGTAACCATTTTGCACTTTGCCTAAGCATTATTTGAATTCTTATCTTTGGCTCAAGGTCTTCTGCCCTGTTTTCAGAGTCCTGTCTCCATTTCAGGTTTTGTTGAAGTGTTCTTCCCTCTACTCACTTTCATCCTTCTTGTTTGATTGCAGGGCCGTGCTTTGTTTTAAAGCAGATTCAACCTGAATTCTTTAAAACTGCACAGAACATCTGCATCACATCTATTTATTGACAAAGCTTGATTAAAGACAACCTGGGAGGGAGGTGGATTTCTGGACCAAGGATTGAAAGTAGATGGCTGGATTCCCTTATAAACATCGACTTTGACACCACTCTGTATATTCATGGGGTCTGTATTAGAAAAAGAAATTACTCAAGGATGTTGAGATGAAGTTTAAGTGGTAATTACATGCATTAAAAATGGCCATTTAAGGGAAGGATGATTCCCACGTAAGGAGTATAAGAAGTCGTAGCCCCTGATTTAGTCAGAAATATTGTAGCAAGCATTTGGAGACTTCAGTTCACTATGCAGCTTGCATAATAACGGCGAAGTCCTGTTCAGGATCCCTAGATCTTAGCTCTGCCATATTTCAACCAAAATCAGTCATTTCTGGCTTTCAAACTCAGGCACATTGTTGCAACTCATGAAGAAGTAAATGTGAATATTTGGAAAAATACACAGCTATGCATGTCACACGTGCATATGAGATTCCCACCAATGACTGTCCAATGACTGTCCAGGCTGATTCTAGCAGAGAGGAGGAGACTGGAGATGTTCTTTGACACGCAAATGGTTGTAAATGTTCTCTTAAAAAAATTCCAGTGTCATCCTTGGGTCTGTCCTGGTCACACATTCCCAGGGTGGCAGCAGGCATCATAGGGCAGGAAGTGGCCATCCCTGGAGCCCTGGATCCCACAGAGGACTCCTGAAGGCAATCTTAGAAGTCCAGCCCAAAAGAAGAGCCAGGTTTGATTGGACTGTCATTCAGTTCCCCGAATTACACTGAATTCTGAATCGTGGACTGGGTAGGAACAATGTGAGTGTAAAATCTCCACCCTCAAACCATGAATTCAGTAAATCATGACTCGGGCAAACTTGGGACAAGGGTGGCCCTCCTTAGAGAAGCAGTGTGTGTATATGTGTATCTGCATGTATATATGGTACATATATTTATATATACACACATATATATACACATAGACGTGTGTACCATATGTACATAAACTGTAGATGGTGGGTGTGTATAATATGTGTATACCAGATATATAAATATCAAAGACCCTAAAGCCACTACCAGCCTGCTCTTCCAGAGCCCAAACTGTCCCCCACCCATCCCTGTGTTTCTTGGGTCCAGAGCAGAGCTCCGTGCTCACTTTGCGCATGATAGATATTTGTTGTTGAGTTGTCTCATCTCAAATAAAATTATATTTGTATTTATTCCTTCATAGTTACCTGAGTTATCTAAGCTGCAGTGAATAGTCCTCTACGGCCCCATTGCAGTCGTAACATGGAGTAGGATTCCACCCCTCACAGGCTGGTGGCCACATTTGTAAATGACGGCTCTGATGCTCTGATACTCAGTGCGTTCATTACAGATTTCTTAATATTAAGTGAGCACCTGCTACGTGTTCTCCCACTTGCAGGGCAGGTAGTACCAGCCCATTTTATAGATGAGAAATGGATTGCCAAGGATGATATATAAGTGTAAGAACCCACATGTCGGCGAGGGTGCCCGGCTGGCTGGAGAGAAGAGCTGCCTGGGTGGAGGCTGCCCAGCCTGGCCTGTGCGGAGGCTGCCCAGCCTGGCCTGTGCCTTCACAGAGGTGCAAATGGGCCAGGGGGAGCCTGCTCCCAGGGCTTAGTTTTCGAGGACAGCTGCGTGGAGGATACGTTCTTAAAGACATCCCTGGAGAGCGAGGTTCACCTGGGGCAGTGGAGCATCCGGAGCAAAGGCCTGCATTGGCCTCTGCACGTGGTCAGGGAGGTGGCAGCACCAGGGGATGCCACACAGCCAGGAGCCTGCTGGGCTGGGGTCAGCCAGGCCACCTGCCATGCTTGTGGCCACTCCAGCCTGTATCCCCACAGACGCTGACCGCTGCTCTGTGCAGGACCGGCACAGTGAGAGCACAGCCCGGCCTGCGCGGGGCAGGCACCCTCCAGAGCCTGGGTGAAAGTCCGGCACCTCCCCATCAGATCCTCACTTAGGAGACGGCCACTGAGAGCCCGTGATTGCACAAGCCTTGTAAAAAAGAGGGAACGCATTCTAAAGCCACACGATCCAGGTGATCCTTCCCCACTTAGGGTTTTTGTTCCAGAGGTATGACCAGAAATGTGTGTGCATGTGTGGCCAACTCTCATTCATGTCATTTTCTAGTTCTGGAAAAAAATTCACTGTTTAGGAAAATATAGAATATTCAAAAACACATTGAAAATAAAATCAAATGCCATAAGACTTGTTGGAGCATGCTACAGTTTATAAACGGGGTTTTATTGCAGGAATGCCGAATTTTTAAAAATTGAGTAATCACGACTATATTTCTGTATCTCTTTACTTGACCCTTGAGGCTGCGAGTCTTCTGGGGCAGGGGGATTAGTCTCTAAGCTCTCGCATCAAAGACAGCCTGAGAAGGCTCTGAGGGATCTGTTCTCCCAGGGTCTGCCCTTCCCAGATTGAAATCGTTCTGCCCACCGTCATCACAAACAGCACTGAGACACTCGACTCCTTAAAGTTCTCAGATGCCACGGGGTAGTCTCACCTGCACCCCGGGACCTTGCCAGCTATTTGTGGGCTGATAAGAATCCGTGCACTTTCACTCCTGTTCTCGGATCCCCCGAGCTTCGGCGTGGTCCAGCTCTCAGTTCTGCAGTTCACTCACCACTTTTAGACGGAGGACGTCGATTAGATTTGTGGATCATGACATTCGCAGTCTGATCTCAAAAATGAAATGTCAGGAATTGCAGCCTTTTGTTAGAGTCTGATGCAGGAGATCTCGAACACGTTTTCCAGAGCCGTCCCCAGCTCCAGGTGCTCTTAGATCAGCGAGGCCACCTTGACCCTATCGGGAGCATTCGGACTCCTGGTAAACCTCTCTCAGTGGACAGCAGAGCTGTGCTTGTGAACGGCCTTCAGGCCCAGCGCCCTCACTGTGCCCAGTGGGGATATCACTGGTCATGGCTGATGACTGGCCGAGCACCTGTGTGTCTCCTCAAAAGGAACCTGGGGCTTGGCCGGCATGGCCTATTCCTTGTTCTGGTCTGCATTTCGGCCTGGACTTCTGTGTCTCTGTGTGCTGTCCTGAGGCCTGCGGGCTCCCAGGTGTCTGTGTTCCAGTGTAGGGGGAGCTGGAGGGTGAGAGGACGGTCTGGCAAACGTCCTTCCCCTGGCAGATCTAGGAGGCATGTGAACAGGGGGACGGTTTCCCCCAGGAGGAGGCCGAGGTCCTGAAAGGCAGGTGGGGGCCTTGAGACAAGAAAGCGAGAAGGTTCGAGGGTCATCCTTGGCTGGCTGACAGCACCCTCACTCTGGGAGCTGGAAGCTGGGAAGGCAGAGGCGTGCACATTTTCCAGGCTTGAGTCCAAAAACCCCGCTATTCTCCGTGTCTCCGCTGCCTCACTGCCTTCCTCTGTTTGCTCCTAGAGACCCAGGCGCTGGGTCTGCGGAGTCCGCGGGGATGTCTTTCTGTGTGAATGAGCAGCCACTGCGTGTGGGAAGATTGGGCTATGTAGGACAAGCTGTATTTGTGCACCTGCGCAAGGCGGGACCACTGAAATTTAGCCCTGGAGTTCGTTCACGGAGCCGCTGACCACTTATCCCTTCCTCTTCAGCATGTGCTTGCCGCTGAGCCATGCGGGTGCTGTGTTCTCTGTTATGTGCCGGTGTGTGGACTGGAACCCGCCTGCAGCAGCCACTCCCACCTGCCCTCGGGACCCTGACTGTACATGGGCTGAGCCAGGCAACCACCGGAAGGGTGAGTCCTTCCCCAGGACTCAGCGGGTGAGAGACTCCGGCTCACCTCACGGCGGAACGCAGACACCTGAGAGCCCGCAAGCCTCAGGACAGAGAGAAACAGAGGTCCAGGTGGAAATGCGGAGGCGGCACGAGGAGGGGGCCCTGGCCTGGGAGCACGTGCGCTGCACCACGTGTTACCCGTGAGAAGATACACAGGTGCTCCGCCGATCACCAGCCAGGACCTTCCCCAGTCGCCTGTCCAGCCTGGGCTGTTCACTCATCCTGTCCTGCCCCTGAAATTTACTTTTTCCCTCTAATATGGTTTTTTGTTTGTTTTGTTTTGTTTTTGTTTTTTTTGAGATGGAATCTTGCTCTGTCGCCCAGGCTGGAGTGCAGTGGCGTGATCTCGGCTCACTGCAACCTCCGCCTCCCAGATTCAAGCAATTCTCCTGCCTCAGCCCCCCGAGTAGCTGGGACTACAGGCGACCACCACCACGCCTGGCTAATTTTTTGTATTTTAGTAGAGACGGGATTTCACCATGTTACCCAGGCTGGTCTTGAATTCCTGAAATCAGGGAATCTGCCTGCCTCAGCCTCCCAAAGTGCTAGGATTACAGGTGTGAGCCGCCGCAACCGGCCTTCTAATATGTTTTTTTCCAATCACCACCACAGGCCTCTACTAGCTGATTTTACCTTAACTGAGGCAAAGTCTTCAACACTTAGTGTGTGCTAGTTGATTTCTTAATATGATGTGTTTCTCAACAGAGATCAGTTTTATTCATGTGGTGCAGAAGTTTGAGAATCTGAAATGGGCTAAAAGTAACTGAGTCCAGAGCTTGGGAAGCAAAAGGCCTGTCCCTGTTGCAGAATGGTCTGGTTAACCACGCCCCCAACTGCTCCGCCAGAAACTCCAACTCTGCAGGCCTAAAAGCACCTCTGCCACACCTTCAGCTGAAATCTGAGTTCCCAGGGATTTCTGGGACCTGGCATTGAATTATAGGAGGATTCTTCCCATTGCTTAGGTTTTTGCATTCTTCTGAATATAGGTGAATAGATGCAAAAAATTTCAAAAATAGCTTATTTTATCAGAGGCATTTGAAAAAAAGACTGCCCAATAAAACATTTAAGTAGAGTTACTCTTGTACACAGTTTCGCATTTTAAAAACGGCCTATTTTTTTCAAGATTAATTTGAAGGACTAAAAGCTGGCCCTGGTTACAGATATGGCTTATGGTCAGCGTTGTTTAATTATTCAGAACAGTTTTATATCCCCCAGTTAAAAATTGTTCAAGGGAGACAGTCCCAGAATCATTCTGCCACACTTTCCAGGCCCCGCCCTCCCCAGAAGCACAGCCTGTGCCTCTCCACTCTGAAAACAGGCCCCGGAGCCTGGACACCTAGGCTTAATTCCCAGGGCTTTGTTCCTCCGCTCTCTGAGCAGAGTGGCTTCCTGCCTCTCAAAGCCTCCGTGTGCTCAGGCTCAGAACCTGGAACACGGGCGCACCGATTGCGTGAGATGGTTGAGAGTCTTCAGCCGAATCCCAGACATACAGTGTGGGGCCCGGCACTCAGGAAGCGCCGATCGCCGGCCGCCATTGTTCGCAGCTTCTGGCACTTTCGCTGTCCCACCAAATGTGTGGAAGACCATTCCCAAGGAGCGCCGACCTCCTGGCCTCCGCGGCAGCCTGCACCCGGCTGAGCCTGCTCTTCTGAAGTCCTGGACCCTGGTGACCTTTACGACGCGCCGTCCTCCTGCTAGCAGGGGGTGGTGCTCTCCAGCCCTCCCTTGACACCCCCTGGTGTCAGTTCTCCCCGGCCTTGCCTCTCCTACCACGTGCCTCCTTCCCAGCCTCTCCCTCCGCTTGCCCCTAAATATCTGCCTCCTCCAGTTCTGCCATGGATGGAGGTGTAGACCAGGAATCTGAGCCCATCTTGGGAATCCAGAGGCCTGGGTTCAAATCCTAGCAAAGCAAGCATCTCAACCTCTGTGCCGATTCCTCCTCTCTCCAAGGGGAGAATAAAGTTGGCCTCAGTCTGGAGAATCTGCCTCTGAAGCCCCCACCCTCTTCTGGGGTTCCCAGCATGTCCCTTTGCTGAGTGAACTGCCCTTCAGGGTGTCCTGAGGACTCCAGCAGCTCCACGTGGCTGACACGGGTCTTGTTGCCCCCGAGATGACTCCTCCTCTCTAGATCTGAGTCTAGCTTCTGGGTCAGGATGCACCCAGCCACCCAAGCTGGGCCCCTGAGCGGCCCCTCGCCACCCCCACACTCAGCGGGTCACTGTGTCTGGTGGGTGGCCCCTTGCCGCCTGCACAGCTGCTGTCTCCATGTGGTCCTGGCCTCCCTCTGGGCCATTGGGGGAGCCGCCCTGCCCAGGCCCCACCTCGGGGTCTGTCCCCTGCCAGCCAGAGCTACCTCTGACAGAGAGATCTGATGGTGTCTGTGGCCCCCCAAACCTTTCCTGGCCTCCTTGTCGCTTTGGGGAGTCCCACCAATTCCTGCCTCCTCCCCAGAGTCAATGCTGTCTTTACCCCCAGATCCCTCTCCCCACCTTCCTGGCTGTGCCTCCCATCTCTGCCTGTGCCCACGAGGCCCTTCCACCCCTCTCAACTGGGACTGATCTCCTTGAAGACCTGGCTGCAATCCCGAATTCTGTGACGAGCTCTCCAAACCCTCAGAAACATAACTGTCACCTTCCCTGTATGTTTATTATGGACCTTTTAATCTCTGTATTATAATAATACATTTGCAGTCATCACCTATATTTATATTTCATAGCAAGCTTGTTGCAGACCTGAACGTACTTTTATTGTACTTTTATTATTACATTTTTGTGATAGTGATTTGTTCTGCTGCTTGTCTCCCCATATGAACTGTGAGCTGGCTGAGGCACGTGCCTGCGTCAGGCAGAGCGCCCGACACCGGCAGCCCTTCTGTCCATATTTTCGTTCGCTGCTGCTGCTGTTGCTGCTGCTGCCACTGCCGCTGCCACTGAGAAGCCTGTGTCTTCAGATAGTCATGTGTTCTGTCAAAAGACATTTGTAAAGTTCACGCCCCTGGCTTGGACCAGTGTGTCAGTGCTGTGGATACAAAAGGTATTTCCAGCCCAGGGCTTAGCTGACTTGCGTTCTGGGGGAGATTCTGCACCCACTTGGTGACTTGGGATGTCAGGCCCTTCCTCACTTTCCTGTGGCCCCATTCTCTCCATGTCTGAAAAGACACTGCTTGGCCAGGTGGCCCCCAGAAGGCCCTCCAGCACCACCAGCTGGAAACGGGGCCCGCAGGGCGGTTCGTGTTCCATCATCTTCCACTCATGGGTTTTGTTTGGAGACTGAATTTGGTGGCATCTGGAGAAGTTGTGACTCACGGGTTGAAAGGGTTCCTGGACTTGCAGGGCCCAGGTACTGGGAGCGGTGGGATGCTCTCCTGCCATCTGGCTGCTCGTGGCTGGCCAGCCCTCGCTGTCTCTGAAAGTTGGGAGCGGTCCCTTTGCAGTGCTCCCAGGACACTCATCGTGGGGAAACGGGAAGGTCTCGCAGAGAGGAAGAGGGTGGGGTAGATCCTGACGGACCGGTCAGACTCTGCGGCCTCAGCCCCGGTAGAGCCCGCCCTGGAGAGCCTGGGGGTTGCCAGGTGGACAGGGAGAGGCTCTGCAGGGTGGCCTCTCTGGCAGTGATGCTGGGGGCTCCAAGCAGGAAGGAGCCGGCCTGGTCCGCTGCAGACAAGCTCGCCCTCTCCCCTGGTTTCCTTGGGCTGACTCCTCCTTGCCAGACAGGCCATTCCAAGCACAGTCAGCCTGGGTCCCTGAAGCCAAGCCCAAGCTGAGGGAGAGAGACAGCCTGGCTTCCAGCTGGCGTGAAGTCCTCGCTCCCCTGGAGGAGCCAGGCCAGGCCAATAGCCACCGGGAGCCCCGGCGTTGTAAATATGGTCATTCCCACATTCCCAGCAGGATTCCTCCTTCTCAGGCGCAGCAGGCAAGCCGGGGTCAGAGGCATGAGTCACGGAGGGGGGAGAGAGGGGCGGGGATCCGGAAGACGGCTCCGCAGTCGCCTGACTGCACCCTGCCTACTGACCCTCCAGACCCTGACGGCGAACGCCCCATGTGTGGGGCATCCAAAAGCGTGCCTGCCGTGCCATCAAAGCAGACAGGGATGCAGAAAGCACGGGAGACGTCCATAGCATGGGGAGCAAACAGGCCACTGTCCCCAGGGCCACCAGGCTGCGCTGGAATCACAGGCTCCCTGCAGGACCCCATTTCAAGCCAGTGGTGCCGGAAGTCCCTCTGGAGGCCGCCTGGCCGAGCAGTGTCCTTTCAGAGATGGAGGAATCTGGGGCACAGAAACGTGGGGTGGGGTGTGACTTATCCCAAGTCACCAGCTGGCTCCCTAATATCAGGCTGCCACCTGAACACGTCCTGAGCCACATGTCTCAAAAATTCCCGAGGCCCTGTAAGAGCTCAGAGCAGGCAGCACCTGGTGCATTTGTCTGACCAGCAGACACCCATCAATCCTCTGGGGGTCCTAGGAACTTTGGGGTGTGAGTGGGGGAATCTCACCCATGCAGTCATTCCTGGGAAGGCCTGACTCTCCACAGGGGAATGGGGCCAGCCGCTGCCACACACACACATGCTCTGGGATTTTAGCTCTGGCCCATTTCTTGGAGTACCATGGGCACGTGGTGGCCTCCTTGTCACTCACCAGCCTGCTGAGAATCACAGGGCAGAAGCTTCCACCCGGAGCCCACAGACAGAGACAAGGGGGTCCTGCCTGTAACAGTCACTGCTTCCATTTGGAGAAAAGTAGGCACACCCCAGGGGGAGGGAGGCGCCTGAGTGAAGGAGTGAGGGCAACCTGGCAGAGCCATTCAGGGGAACGTTGTAAAAAACAAATTAATCTCAGAATTCTAATTGTTTCCTGATTCCCATTTGCTTTCAAGAGAGAACAGAGCCTGCTTTCCATCCCTTTCCTCTTAGCCTCACCATCGTCCCACAGAAATATTCACCAAATCCTCCAACGCCCCCTTTGAAAGTCGCTGTCAGGGACGGTATCCCTGCGTTCCTCCTGCCGCACTTCTCCCTTGGTTGCAGACGTTGATTCTTAGATGGTCCTGTGGTGGGACTAAGCGGGGATGGTAAGCTTTTGCTGTTTCCCTTGTGATTTTCTGTCCTCCGCGCGCCCCCCTGCCCCTGTGTCCCCCAAGCTTCCAGGGCTGGGGGAGCCACGGAGGTTGGCCAGGAGGAGGGGAGCCTGACCCCCAAGGACACCTGCCTTTTTACCAAGTGGGACCCCCTTGCCACCTTCCCCCTACAGCACCCAGCAAGGGTGGCAGAGCAGCTGGCTTCCTGACATGCCAGGCCCCACCAACCCAGGCCACCCTGGTGCCTGGTTCCCTAGTGAGGAGTGGCTTTTCCTGCTCAGGGCCAGCCTTGTGCTCAGCTGCTCAGCCTCCGAGGTCCCCTGCCCTGCTTAGAGCTCGCAGTGCAGATGTGGCCTGGAAGGAGGCATCACACTCTCTACCGTGAAAGCAGCACTCTGCATTTCCTCCCCCGCCTCTGGACAAGACATTTGTCAAAAAGACAGTGCACTGGGGAGAAGGCTCTGGGGTGGAGGTGGCCAGCTTCATGCTGGCACTGCCCATCCCAGCCCGGGCTGGCAGCAAGCTGGGAGCCTCCCCGGAGCCGTCTGGCCCTTGGTGGCCAATGGTCTCTTTGAACCCTTACCCAGATGGAACAAGGAAACTCGTTCAGCAGAGCAGGAGGGACTCTCCCGAGAGTCTCCATGGGGCCTGCTGCTGGCACCCTGATGCCTGCCCATTGGGTGGGTGATCACTGAGGCATGGTCCACAGGGCTGGACTCGGCCTGGGTGCACAGCTCTGTCCACTGAGTGTCTGGCCTGCCCCCAGGCCCTCCTGCCTGCCTGAGACTGTCTCAAGAGGGCTGGAGGCTGTGTTAGGACCCTTCAGAGGAACTGCAGCTGGCGAACGCGGTCTCAGGGCCCGGGTGCTGGGGGTGGGGCCAGCCCCGAGCAGGGAGCATCTTGCCTGTAACCAGCTGCCCCTAGCAGGGAGCATGTTGCCTCTAACCAGCTGTGTGACATAGTGTGGCCCAGCCTCAGCTGACCCCTCTGAACAGGGCTGAGTTGTCACAGGAGATGAATGACAAGGCCGGATATGTTCAGCCTCATCTTTCTGCCCAAAAAACATCTTAGATGAACTGGAGATTTTGTCAAAGCGCAGATGTTGACTCTGAGGCTCCGAGGCCTGAGACTGCATCTCTGAAAGCTCCTGGGGAATGGTGCTGTTGCTGGTCCAGGGACCAACTGGGTAGCAAGAACTTAGAATGCCCATGAGGCCATTGAGGATGCAAAGATCGCTTGGATCTATTGGATTGGTACAAAAGGGGAGTTCCCGCCAGCCGCTCCTGAGACACAGCTCAGGGTGGGCGCAATGTGGGCGAGAGCTCCTTGGGTGCAGCTGCCCCGAGGGGGCTGGCTTTGCTTTCTCCTTCCTCTCCCCTGAGGTGGGGGTGAGTGCTCTGACCACTGTGGGGAGAAGGCACCCATGTCGGCCCAGCCTTCCAGATAGTGCCCTCGTGCTAAGGGCTTTGAGGCTTCCGTTGGGGTGGGGGCTGGATGGGCAAAGTCCTGGAGGGGAGGCCCCGGGAGAAGTTGGCAGAGGGTCCCGGCCCTTGCATCTTGTGGCCTTTCTGTCTGCCCAGGTTTGCTCAGGCACAGCTTTGTTATTTGGAAGCCTGTAGTCAGGCAGCTCTGGTGCCGGCTCCTGGTGGGCCCCTTGGCACCGTGTGGTGATTGGACAATGTGACCGATGACTGCTCCCCTACATAGTATGTGCCTGGGTCAGAAGGTGGGCAGAGGCTGCCATCTGTGCCCTGCTGCCCTCCGGCGTCTGACCTGGCACGGCCCAGCATTACTGGCCTCTTTGCTGTTGGTATTTACAGCCCTGTCCATCATCTATCCGGTCCTGGCCTCGGCCTGCCAAGCCATGTGACCGCTGGCCACGGGAGCCACCTGCTTGGTCTGCACGGTCCCCGCATCCCTAAGGCTTCAGCTGCTGGTTTCTCTCTGCTTTCTTCATTGTAGTCCCTCTTTCAACAAATATTTAGTGAGCACTTATGAAGTGCCAGGAGCTGTTCTAGACCCAGTTGGGGAAGAAAACAGCTCCTTGCTCTCTTGGGCTCCTGTTCTCATGGCGACATGTGTGTTGCCCATAGACCAGGCAAGGCCAAGCCTTTCTGGTGAAGTAGCTCATTGAGCCCTCACAGCACTGATGCAGCACGCCCTATTGTTACCCTCACTTGGGTGTTTTGCAGAAGTGGAAACTGAGAGCTGGACAGGTTAATCCACTCTCCCAAGGCTGCGCCACAGAGAGAGGCAGCGGGGCTTCAGCCTCAGGCCAGGCTCCAGGGCCCGTCTCAGGGAGAGCTCAGGAAACCAGGCCTTGGAATTGCACACACCCCTCTCTGTGCCCATCCCGGCATGCTCTCACCGTCCCTCCTTTCACAGATTTCCAAATGGTAACATTCTGCATTCCTGGAATAAACCCTTCTTGGTCATCTGGAATTGGTTCTTTAAATACCCGACTTGACTTGATTTGCTAATGTCTTAGGACTTTTTGCATTTAGATTCACAGGCGGCAACGTTCTAGCCTTTGGTTCTGATGCCGTCAGGACAGGTGTCCAAACCGTGTCATCTTTTTATGAAGGATGCTGGGTATGGGTGGGAGCAGAGGGTATATGGGAAATCTCTGGACCTTCCTCTTAATTTTGCTGGGAACCTGAAGTGCTCTAAAAAAATAAAGTCTTTACAAAGAAAGAAAGAAAGAAATATAAATAAATAATAAAATGGGAAGTGGTCCTTCATCTTTAAATTCTGGAATAGTTTAATATAGATGGGAATTATCTGTTCATAGAAAGTTCTGTTTAATTCTCTTATAAAACAAGCGGGTTTGTTATTCTTCGTGGGGTAGATACAGACCTTTGTAACCTGGTCCACATGTCTGATGGCTATCGATACATTTGGGTTTCCTGCTTTTTCTTGGATGAGTTTGGTAACTTGGACAGCATGAGAATTAAGAGTGTGAGTTCACGAATCCGACTGCCTGGTGACAGTCTGGCTCCTGCTGTCCTTATTCATTGTGTGACTGGGCAGACAGAAGCTTGGGGTGACTGGGGACCCACAGATGTGCCCGGTGTGGCCAGAAGCTGTAGGGGTTGCACACCCCCTGGACTCCTGCCCCCAGTTGACTGTGGGCCTCTCAAGATTTTCCTTACAGCCACTTTCCTTCTCCCCAACATTCTTATTTGCTTGTTTTGCACTGGGGGATTAGTCCATCATTTGTTGTCGTACTTGCAGAGAAAGAAGCCCCAGGAATACCTTTCCTTTGGACAGAAGGCATTTCTAGTGGAATTTCCCTGGAGCAGCTGCTGAGCGGTGCACATTCTGCAGCTGCATTGCTTCTCTCGCTCTCCCGCATGGTCCCTGGACTCGCTGGGTATGGACTTTCGGGGCTGCCCTGCTCTTTCCACCAACACTCTGGACATTCTGGGAGTGTCACTGAGTGGGGGTGGTGAGCTTGTTTGGAAGCCAGCATGCATCTGCTGGTTGTCTGGGTCTGGAAGCCGTAGGAGGTTGCCCTACTCTTAGAGCCCAGAGATTTCTTCGTGATTCAGCTGGGTTGCCCCTCCTCTTGTTTTCCTTCCTGGAACTTGGTGTTCCCTTTTAGTCTGAAGATTATCCTGATAACCTGAAGATAATCCTGAACGTGGAGACACGTTCCTCTGCCATTTTTTCTGATCGTTTCTGCCCTATCCCTTCTCCTTCCCCCCCGGCTTTTTTTTTTTTTTTCTGAGTCTCACTCCATTGCCCAGGCTGGAGTACAGTGGCAATCTCAGCTCACTGCAACTTCTGCCTCCCAGGTTCAAGTGTTCCCCTGCCTCAGCCTCTGGAGTAGCTGGGATTACAGGTGTGTGCCAACCATGCTGGCTAATTTTTGTATTTTTAGTAGAGAGAGGGTTTCACCATGTTGGCCAGGCTGGTCTCAAACTCCTGACCTCAAGTGAACCACCTGCCTTGGCCTCCCAAAGTGCTGGGATTCCAGGTGTGAGCCACCGTGCCGGCCTCCTTTGCCTTTTGCTCAGCATGCTGGGAGACTTCCAGGAGCACTCTCTGATGTATTTGTTTTTCTTCATTTTTAAATTTTTTAAAACTTCTCCTTCTATTTGTTTTGTTGTTTCCAGCAGTCCTTGTTTTGTTTCCTAATGGTTCCTTTTTTTGAAGCAGACAATTCTGGTTTTCTCCAGGCTCCTCCTCAGTAGGTGAATTCTGCTGCTCTGAGGCTGGATCCCTGTGCGGAGGCCTCTGCTAGGCGTTCAGCCTGGATGTGCCCCCTGAGTGGCCCTCGGGTCCCTGGGGTATCTCCTTGTCTGTTGTGCACTCACGCCGATGGGAGGTCTCACTGACCACGCTGAGCGGTTCCATACCTCTGGTTGACTCGGGGTGGCTGAGGTGGGTGTCTGAGGGGTCAGGAGGCTGGGTCCAGACTCGGCAGGGGACAGAGAGCCCCCACTGAAGGACCGCGCCCACCAGGCACTCAGGAGAAGAGAGGAGTGGCTTTGTGGGGTGGCCAGGACCCATCGAGACCCATGGGGGTGGCTGGCAGCTGGGACTTCTCCATGTCTGTGAACTCTGCTGTGATCTCACCCTGGCACGTTCCCTAGCCCTGAGCATCTGGAAGCCCAGGGTTGAGGGTGTGGTGGGGGAGGGAGAGGAGGTGGGGGTGAGAGCATTTTTGCATGAACTGGGGGATGCCAGGGTCCTGTGGAGGCAAAGCCTCCTCCGCTGTGATGCCAGGGGCTGAGGAAAGGCAGGGAAAGCTCAGGGTAATGAATGTCCTGGACATCCGCTCCATGCTGTGGATGATGGTCACAGCCCACGCTTCTGTGGCCAGATTCTGACCCCTGATCCTCACTTTTACCCCTCCAGGGTCCCCTGGCAGAACCTCAGGGGTGTGTAATGGTGTGTGTGTGTGTGCAAGAGAGAGAGATATGGGGTATGTGTGATGTGGAGTATGTGTGTGTGTGATGTGTGTGGTAAGGAGTTTGTATGAATTGGGGTGTGTGTGATGGGGTATGTGTGATATGGAGTATGTGTGTGTGATGTGTATGTGTGGTGTGGGGGTGTGTGGTGTTGGGTTTGTGTGAATCGGAGTATGTGGTGTATGTATGTGTGTAGTGTGGGGTTTGTGTTAATCAGGGTGTGTGTGTGATGTGATAAGTGTGTGATATGGGATGTATGTGAATTGGGGTATGTGTGGTGTGAGGTGTGTGTGTGATGTGGAGTGTGAGTGATGTAGGTGTGGATGTAGTATGGGGTGTGTGTGTGGTGTGTGCATGTGTGTGCGATGTGGGGTTGTGTAATGTGAGTTGTGTGTGTTGTAGTGTGTGTGATATGAGTTGTGCATGATGTGAGGTGTGTGATATGAGGTGTGTGATGGTGTGTGTGTGATGTGTGTGTGATGTGGGGTGTGTGTGATATGGGGTGTGATGTGTGAGGTGTGTGTGATGTGTGTGTGATGTAGTGTGTGTGATGGGTGTGATGGGTATGTGCGTGATGTGAGGTGTGTGTGATGTGGGGTGTTGTGATGTGTGAGGTGTGTGTGATGTGTGTATGTGATATAGTGTGTGTGATGTGGGGTGTGTGATGGGTATGTGCGTGATGTGAGGGGTGTGTGATGTGGGGTGTGTGATGGGTATGTGCGTGATGTGAGGTGTGTGTGATGTGGGGTGTTGTGATGTGTGAGGTGTGTGTGATGTGTGTGTGATGTGGGGTGTGTGATGGGTATGTGCGTGATGTGAGGTGTGTGTGATGTGGGGTGTGTGTGATGTGTGAGGTGTGTGTGATGTGTGTGTGATGTAGTGTGTGTGATGTGGGGTGTGTGCTGTGGGGTATGTGCGTGATGTGAGGTGTGTGTGATGTGGGGTGTGTGTCTCATGTGAGGTGTGTATGTGAGGTGTGGGATGTAGTTGTGTGATGGGTGTGTGTGATGTGGGGTATGTGATGTGAGGTTTATGTGATGGGTGTGGAATGGGTGTGTGTGAGATGTAGTGTGTGTGCGATGTGGGGTGTGTCTAATGTGAGGTGTGTGATGTGGGATGTGTGATATAGTGTGTGTGATGTGAGGTATGTTTGAGGTAGTGTGTGTGTAATGTGAGGTGTGATTTAGTGTGTGCGTGATGTGAGGTGTGTCTAATGTGAGGTGTGTGTGTGATGTGGGATGTGTGTGATGTGGGGTGTGGGTCTAATGTGAGGTGTGTGTGATGTGTGTGCATGATGTGAGGTGTGTGTGATGTGTGTGTGTGATGTGGGGTGTGTCTAATGTGAGGTGTGTGTGGGTTGTGGGATGTGTGATGTAGTGTGTGTGATGTGAAGTATGTTTGAGGTAGTGTGTGTGTGATGTGGGGTGTGTGTGATGTGAGGTGTGTGTGTGATGTGTGATGTGAGGTGTGTGTGATGTGTGTGTGTGATATGGGGCGTGTGTGATGTGGAGTGTGATGTGAGGTGTGTGTGATGTGGGGTATGTGTGATGTTTGTGTGATGTGGGGTGTGTGTGTGAGGTATGTGTGTGATGTATTGTGTGTGATGTGGGGTGTGTGTGATGTGGGGTGTGTGTGATGTGGGGTGTGTGTGTGATGTGAGGTGTTTGTGATGTGAGGTGTGTGTGCGACGTAGTGTGTGTGATGTGGGGTGTGTGGTGTGAGGTGTTTGTGATGTGAGGTGTGTGTGATGTGGGGTGTGTGTGATGTGAGGTGTGTGTGATGTGGGGTGTGTGTGATGTGAGGTGTGTGATGTAGTGTGTGTGTGATGTGGGGTGTGTGTGATGGGTATGTGCATAATGTGAGGTGTGTTTGATGTAGTGTGTGTGTGATGGGGGTGTGTCTAATGTGAGGTGTGTGTGTGTGATATGGGATGTGTGATGTAGTGTGTGTGATGTGAGGTATGTTTGAGGTAGTGTGTGTGTGATGTAAGGTGTGTGTCTAATGTGAGGTGTGTGTGATGTGGGGTGTGTGTGATGTGGGGTATGTGTGGGATGGGTGTGTGTGTGTCTGTGTGCGTGTTCGTGTGTGTGTGTCTGACTAGAGATTTCACATGTGTGCTCACCTCCCACCCTTCTTCCCTGCCATGCTGGTTCTGACTGTCCAACGGTGTCCATGGTACTTTGCCCTTCCCTTTCTGTGGTAGAGTCTACCTGCACTCTAAAAAGTGATCCGTGTCTTCCCTGTGTTCTAGTTGCTTACAAACATGCTTCTGCCCTGCTAGATTTCTCTGATCCATCTCAGCTTTTTCAACAACTAGCAGCATTCTTGGCACATGATAGATGCTCAATTATGTCGCAGGAATGGAAGGAAGAAAGGGAGGAAAGAAAGAAGGGAGGAAGGGGGAAGGAAGCGGAAGGAAGGGAGGGAAAAATGAATGAATTGGTGAAAGGATAAATGGATAAAAGGAAGGAAGGATGGATAGATGAATGGATGGGTGGAGGGAATGAAGGACAGGTGGTACATCAATGAATGGATCAATGAAGAAATGGATGGATGGAAGGAAGGAAGAGAGAAAGAAAAAAAGAAGAAAGAAAGAAAAGAAAGGAAGGAAGGAAGAAAGAAGTAGGTAGGTGGGTGGCTAGGTGGGTGGCTGGCTGGGTGGGCAGGTGAGGAGATGGATAAATGGTCTTAGAGTAAAACGCCTTTCCCTTGGCCCACCCTGCCTCCCTAGCCTTTTCCGTAATGCTTCTGTCCCTTTGTTAGGCCTTGGGGATATAGAGTTGAATGGGGCCTCACCTGCTCATTAGGGCCCCGGTCTGGTGTGGAAGACACAACTGAGGCACTCTCTTGGTTCAGCCACAGCTTTGCAGCTCCACCCATCCCCCGACTCCTGGGCCAGGCAGGCAGATACAGGGAGGTAACTGCACGCAGCACGCATGCACACAGTTCCAGGTGGCCTGTGTATGCAGGAGGCGCTCCCCAGCCCCAGATGTTTTACATTTGTTGCAGAGAACACGGCCCATGTCAGCAGACATGGCTGGGGTCAGGGTGACATCAAGGGGGCCAGGCCCGGAGGCTCTCGGTCAAGAAGACTAATGAACCTGCCGCCCGTTTCTGCCTGAGCCTGGGTCCCCTCGGGCACGTGAAGCAAACCCTGAAACCCACCACTGGCCAGGGAACGGCCCCTGTCATTTTTGGCTTTTCATGGGTGATACGGTATTTCCCCTTGGAGGGTTGGTTCAGCTCATATATCAAAAGCTGTGGTAATTATTTCCTCCCACTGAGGAAGGCTTCCATTTAGCTTTCTCTACCCACCCCCCCTTATTAATTATCTAATTACAACCACATTCTCCAAGAGAGAGCAGCCTTTGACTTTCTGCCCAGGACCACTTAAAAAAGGCTTAAATATTTGGAGTGCTCTGAACTTTGAAAAAAGTGTGTGTGTGTGTGCGTGTGTGTGCGTGCGTGTGTGTGCATGTGCGCGCATGCGCGTGTGTGCGTGTGTGTGCGTGCAGGTGTGCGTGTGCGCGTGTGTGTGCGCGCGCGTGTGTACGTGTGCGTGTGTGTGCGCGCGCGTGTACGTGCGCGTGTGTGCGTGTGCGTGTGTGGTTTTCATACGCATGGGTTTCAGGGAAAATACGTCTTGGCTTTTTCAGACTGTTGCCTTGGTTCAACAAAGGTTCCTGGAGGTCTCTGAGGACCTGGGCTGCTGGGGTGAAGCCTGGGGCTGGGGGTTGGGAGAGGGCTGGGGGTGAAGGAGCGGAACCACACGTCCCCCCTGCACACTGCTGTGCGACATCAGACACCCACGCCCACAGGGACACACACGGACCCACGCACACAGATGCACACACCCACACAAAAACATGCACACTGACACTCCCACAGGGACACACACACAGACCCACTCAGGAGGATGTACATGCTTACACACACACACTGACACACGGACCCACTCACGTGGATGTACACACTTACAAACATGCACACCAGCACTTCCACGGGAAAACACATGCACTCACACGGATGCGCACACACACATACACATGCATACTGACACTCCCACAGGGACACACAGACCCACTCATGGATGCACATGCTCACACACATGCATGCACACTGGCACACACACGGGCCAACTTACACGATGCACATGCTCACACAATTTACACAACTTGCACATGGACACACACTCACTCTGGACATTCTTTCATACTCACACTCACTCTCACACTAGTGGGCACACTCACAGACACACACACGGGATGTCACCGAGCACCACGTCACCCGTCCCTCCAGCTTCCACATCCTCCCCCCAGTGCCTGGGGCCTCCCTGGACCTCCTTCCCTGTGGCAGAATCCTCACGGTGACCCCTCTCCTGGCGGCCGCCTTGGGGAGCCCATGCCTGCCTCTGGGCTGACACCCACCCCTCCCACCACGCTCAGCCGCTCTGCGGGAGGAGGGTCTCGTTGCGCTGGTTTGCCCCTTGGCTCAGGGGAGTTCTCCAATAATTCTCGCTGAACACTCACCTCCCGCGAGCTCTGCAGGTCAACTGGCTGTTCTCATGTTTGTGCAAGAGGTGTGGGAGTGAGCACTTACACGGCCAGGCCCTGTGGTGAGCAGTAAAGGTCCCAGGTCGCAGGGCCAGTCTTCAGCGATCCCTGCTAGAGCTCAGGTCTCCTGGCAGGACAGCAACACAGCCTGGGGGCTGCTGCAGGCTGGCCTGGGTGTGTGGCAGAAGCGGCCCTGAGGCGCGGCGCGGGGCCCACCTGTGTTCGCCACACTCCCGACCAGGTGCTGATGCCAGTGGCGTGTCCCCTGCCCTGTGGGCCCCACTGAGGTGGCCCAAGACCTTGGGCTTATGACACCACATCCCTGTACACCCTGGGTCTCAGACGCTGGCCCCGGCCACCTCTCAGCACCTTCTCTTTGAGCTTGGCAGGCACAGAGGGAGGCGCGGGATTGGGGTCCCCACCCCGGCTTCCTGGAGGACCTGGACTTTCCTCCTGCCTGTGTCTCCTCCCCCTGCAGGTGGGAACCAGGCTCTGGGTAGCGCCTGAGCGGGTTCTTTCCCCAAGGCGCTCCCGGGACAGCTGGTTGCAGCCCCAGAGCTGCACCAAGCCTGGCACACCCACAGTTTGATTGGCCCACAAGTGCGCTTAGAAGTCACTTGTGTGGCATGAGGGGACCTTGTGGGGCTGGAAGAATTGTGTGTCTTGATCATAGTGGGGGGTGCAAGAAACAACACGCATGATGAAACTGCAGGAAGTACACATACACCACTCACACACACACACAAATGCACACAATACACACACAAACACACACATAAACGCACACAACACACACACAAAAACACACAAACACTCCACATACCCACTTACACACATAAACACACACCACGCGCCACACAAATATACCACACACTACACACACACCCCCCACACTGTACATACACACCACATACACACACACCACACAAACACACTACACCCCCCACTTACAAACACACACCACCTACACCACACACAAACACACATCACATGGCACACAAACATACCACACACTACACACACACCCCACATTGTACATACGCACCACATACACAAACACATACCACACAAACACACCACACCCCCACATACACACACAAAGTCACGCCACATACACCACACACCATACAAACATACCACACACACAGACATACCACATACACATACACATAGATACCATACCATACACACTACCCACTACATACCACATATACATACCCCACACCACACACACATACACACGCCACACTGTACACATATACCCCCCATACAAAATACAATCCCCCAAACACACACCACATACACCATGCACCATACATACCACACACTACACACACACTTCACACTGTACATAGACACCACATACACACACATACCACACACACAAACACACCACACCCCCACATACACACAAACACAAACCACATGCACCACACACCACACAAACATACCACACACTGCACACACCACACATACCACATACACACACATGCACACACATACAACATACCATGTACACTACACACTATATACCACACATACATACCCCACACCACACACACCCACACGAGTGACATGTGAATAAGCTCTTGGTCCATACTGGTGCCAGATGCCTGGGTGTGACGTGACGACACCACTGTATGTGTGGCATATAATGTGGTATATAATATACCATATGGTATGTTGTCTGTGTGGATATGTATGTGGTATGTTTGTGCAGTGTGTGGGGTGTGTGTAGTATGCAGTGTGTTTGTGCTGTGCAGTGTGTGTGTGGGTATGTGGGGATGTGGTGTGTTTGTGTGTGGTATGTGTTTGTGTATGAGGTGTGTATGGACAGTGGGATGCGTGTGTAGTGTGCGGTATGTTTGTGTGGTGTGTGGTGTGTGTGATGTGTTTGTGTGTGGGAGGGGTGTGGTGTGTTTGTGTGGTGTGTGGTGTATGTAGTGTGTTTGTGTATGTGGCAGTGTGGTGTGTTTGTGTGTGTGGTATTTGTATGTGGTGTGTATGTACAGTGCGGGGTGTGTGTAGTGTGTAGTATGTTTGTGTGGTGTGTGTGTGTATGTGGAGGTGTGGTGTATTTGTGGTTGTGGTATGTGTATGTGGTGTTTATGTAGTGTGGGGTGTGTGTAGTGTGTGGTATGTTTGTGTGCTGTGTGTGTGTATGTGGGGGTGTGGTGTGTTTGTGTGTGTGGTATTTGTATGTGGTGTGTATGTACAGTGCGGGGTGTGTGTAGTGTGTGGTATGTTTGTGTGGTGTGTGTGTGTATGTGGAGGTGTGGTGTGTTTGTGGTTGTGGTATGTGTATGTGGTGTGTATGTAGTGTGGGGTGTGTGTAGTGTGTGGTATGTTTGGTGTGTGTGTATGTGGGGGTGGGGTGTGTTTGTGGGTGTGGTATGTGTATGTGGTGTGTAGTGTGGGGTGTGTGTAGTGTGTGGTATGTTTGTGTGGTGTGTGTGTGTATGTGGGGGTGTGGTGTGTTCGTGGGTGTGGTATGTGTATGTGGTGTGTATGTAGTGTGGGGTGTGTGTAGTGTGTGGTATGTTTGGTGTGTGTTTGTGTATGTGGAGGTGTGGTGTGTTTGTGGTTGTGGTATGTGTATGTGGTGTGTATGTAGTGGGTGTGTGTAGTGTGTGGTATGTTTGGTGTGTGTGTATGTGGGGGTGGGGTGTGTTTGTGGGTGTGGTATGTGTATGTGGTGTGTAGTGTGGGGTGTGTGTAGTGTGTGGTATGTTTGTGTGGTGTGTGTGTGTGTATGTGGGGTGGGGGTGTGGTGTGTTCGTGGGTGTGGTATGTGTATGTGGTGTGTATGTAGTGTGGGGTGTGTGTAGTGTGTGGTATGTTTGGTGTGTGTGTATGTGGGGGTGGGGTGTGTTTGTGGGTGTGGTATGTGTATGTGGTGTGTAGTGTGGGGTGTGTGTAGTGTGTGGTATGTTTGTGTGGTGTGTGTGTGTGTATGTGGGGGTGGGGGTGTGGTGTGTTCGTGGGTGTGGTATGTGTATGTGGTGTGTATGTAGTGTGGGGTGTGTGTAGTGTGTGGTATGTTTGGTGTGTGTGTATGTGGGGGTGGGGTGTGTTCGTGGGTGTGGTATGTGGTGTGTATGTAGTGTGGGGTGTGTGTAGTGTGTGGTATGTTTGGTGTGTGTGTGTATGTGGGGGTGGGGTGTGTTCGTGGGTGTGGTATGTGTGGAAACTGGGTGAAAGGCACATGGGACATCTCTGTGTTGTCTTTGCAACTTCCCGTGTGTCTGCAATTGTTTTGAAAGCACGCATTTTAAAGCAAGAATCCGCCGTTGACAGCTCCCGCCAGCGGCTGACCCATTTCTCTGCGTCCTCCTCGCTGGAACCCAGCCCTCTGCTGCCCGAAACCCCACAGCTCCCTCGGGCCTGCACGGGGCCAACGTGCCGAGCCTCTCTTGTCCCCAGGCAGCCTGTTCTGAGGGGCTCACCCACAGCCAGACCGCATTCATGGCTGCGCTGAGCACGGGCCAGGGAGAGGCCCCGGGGTGGTGAGTGTGAGAAAGGGCACTCGGGGGCAGGAAAGGGCACTCGGGGGAGGGAAAGGGCTTGGCCTGGCCCAGGGGGCAGGGGTTGCGGAAGCCTGGGCTGGCCCCGTAGCAGTCACCTGCCCAGTGTCTTTTGGGAGGAACATGAGTAGAACAGAGCCAGCTCTCTCAGGGCCTGCCCCGTGTCCCGTCCCACCCAGCCTTGGGACAGTCTCAGGACGATCCTGCAGGAGGCCGAGCGAGGCGGCCGTAGCTCACGGTCCCCCTTCCGTATCTTCCAGGCTGTCCGTCGCGTCGGCGGCGCAAGTGGAATTGGGATGCATTCGAGTCTGTAACTTCTGAAACCTGAACAACCTCAGGAGGCCCCCACCTCTGCCCTCCACCAGCGTCGAGAGAAGGGACAGCAGTGACATCGGACAGAAGACCCGGGCTCCCGTCCTCCCCCAGGACGGTCCCCACATAGGAAGGGCACTCCCAGCCCTCTTGCTGGTGACATTGTCATGGTCATCTTGTTTCTGTTTGGATTTTTCTTCTGGGTCTTATGTTTGGGGGGAGGTTTATTCTTTCTGAAAATGTCTAGATTCAGGAACACATTTATGAGGATTTGGATTTTGAATTTGTATTTCCCTCTAAGTGCCTTTTTTAATGTCTATTTTTTTAATAAAACAGAAATGCATTCTTGTACAATTCTGTTGAAACTGGACCAAGGCTCTCAGAAGAGGACCCCCGAGTTCCTTCCCCTCCCCCGAGCCTCTGCATGATTGTTTCAAGTCAGCCTGGAATTCTTACTTTCACGCCGCTATTCTTTTCCTTTCTCCGTGATTGCTTGGCTAGCCATTTAAAAAAAAATATTCTCTGTTCAGTGTATATGTTGCTTGTTTGTTTTATTTATTGAGATATTTTTACAAGCTAAGTGACTGCAGTGTGGCTGTGTATCCTGCTCCCCACCCAGGAAAAATAAAGACGTCCGCGCAGCCATGGTCTCCCCATCTCTGTTCTCATCTCTACTTCGCAGCTCAGGGCTCTGCCTGAGAGAGTCAGAACAGGTTGCAAGAATCACTATTACTTCACTTTAAAAGGCACGAGAGAGGATGTGAGACATTTTATGCTGTGCATGTTTGTAGAAATTTCTAGAAACTACCAACTCTAACATGGTTGCCAGTGTGAACAGACCGAGGCCTGGGAGAGCAGAGGGGGCCTCAGCCCTTTCCCAGTGCCTAGTCCTCTGCTGCTCCCCAGCAGCCTCAGCACAAGAGACCATTGCTGTCACACCCACGCCCCGCTCTTGATACAGAAGCGTGCCCATTCTGTGAGCCACCCCTGCTGTCCAAAGTCCGGGCCAGCCTTCCCTGCTGCTCACCCTGGGTGGTATTCCCTGCTCTCCCAAGCATGGCATTCATTTGTGCCACCACCTCCCTGCTTCTCTGAACGAGTCACCGTCTGCTCCACATGCATCCGTGCCATGTTGACCATGAGCTCACCAGGCAGCTGGCTAAGAATGGAGCACCTGGGTGTGCAGGTTAGGTTGGCATCCTGCCCAGAAATCCCAGAAGGAACATGATCTGCCATCAAGGAGAGTCAGCCTGGGTCTGGTGCAGGCGGGCACCTCTGCATGAGGGCAAGGGCTCTATGCCCTGCCCGCTACCTCCTTACCATGCCAGCACCCATGAGCACTGGGGGCTGGGTGTTGCTTGTGGACCCCAGGGTGGAGGCTTCCAGCTCTGGAGACTGAGAGTCACCAGGTCACTACCCTGAGCCACCAAACGCATGTCTCCTGGGGGACATCTGGTACCGGGGTCTGCTGGGTGGAGCTGCCCACCAAGCAGTGGACACACAGAGCCCACCCAGCTCCTAGACAGAGGTTCTGGAAGTAGGGGTCTCTGGCAGGATGGTGGTGGCTTGCGAGCCTCATTTCCCACTCCCACCCTGTCCCCAGGTCCACCACGGCAAGGACAGGAGCTCCGGAAACACCAGCATGGCCTCAGCTTCCATCTGGCTCCTGTTGGTGACCTTGATGCAGCACTGGCTTCCACTGGGGCTGGCATCACCGGGAGCGCCTGTCTAGGTCACAGATCCTTGAAGCACAAGCGCCAGAACCCACTGCATGCAACAAGCACACAGACACACACACACACACGCCCAGATCGCACATGCACATGCCACACACATGCATGCACACACACCACACACACATGCACACCACACACACATGCATGCACACACACCACACACACGCACACATCACACACACATGCATGCACACCACACACACATGCATGCACACACACCACACACACGCACACATCACACACACATGCACACACACCACACACACGCACACACCACACACACGCATGCACACACCACACACACATGCACACATCACACACACACATGCAGGCGCACAGACCACACACACAATGCGTGTGAACACACTTGGCACACTTCAAACACACGCACACGTACCCAGGTCACATGAATGTATGCACATACAACCAGCATACACATGCACACATGTGCACACACGAGACTCTGGGGAGATAGAATGGGGCAGCTGTGGTCCCAGCAGTGAAAGGCCCTGCCCTCCCCAGTACTGTCTGGCATGCTCTGCTGAGGCCCGTGGAGGCCACGAAGACTATGAAGGCCACGGTGCCCTCCCTCCTGACGTGATTCAAATAGAAATAATCCCAAGTCATGTAATGCAAAGCTGGCGGACAGTGGGGCCAGAGGAGCCTCTTTCTTGGTTTCCAAGTTGAAAACTTCGTTATTCCTCTGCCCGGTGCCCTGAGCCTGGTTTCCTGGTGAGCAACAGCCTCTTGTCACCTCTGTGGGGGACCCAGCCCTGTGAGTGCTCACACCGAAGCCCCAGGCAGAAGGGGCAAGGAATGAAAGGGCCCCGTGCAAATGAGGGGGCACCCTGGCCCCACGTGGGAGGTCAGGGATGGAGTTCAGTGGGGGCCTCAGAGCAGTGACCAAGCCGGGGGGGTCATCCCAGGGCCTCCCTGCGGCGGCCGCCTCTCCGGGCATCACCGCCTGCTGCCTGTTCCCAGCCCAACTGCTGCACACTCTGGTAGCCACATCAGGGTGTCCTCCTCCCCCAGCCCTGGCCTCTCCTGGGGTCTCTCCTGGGGCTTTTGTCTCCAACTCTGGGCATCCAAGGAGCGGGTCACCGACACCTTAGGCTACGTGGAAATACGCGGCTGTGGACACGGGCTCACTTCCTGTTTTCACCCCCACACACACATTCCTGGAAGAGGTGCCGAAAGACGCTGGCTTCCGGAACACGTGTGTGTGTGTCTATGGTTCCATACGCACGCTGGCACGCGTGTATTTGCATGTGTGTGATGCATGTCTATGGACTATGGACGCAGGTACCTGCTCTCCCATAACCTGCTGCTGGCTCTCCTCCCCAGGCATGTCGTGGGGCCACTTCCCTGTGCTGGCTCCTGCTCTGGGGTCTCACAGCTTCTCTGGGGTCAACCAGAGCCCTCTGCAGTCACGGCCCTGAGAACAGACCTGAGTGAGCTGGTGTGCACATGTTTTCAGGGTCAGATGACTGGTGAGTCCGCAGAACAGGAGACTGTTCCGAGCCCCAGGGGCTGTCTAAAGGAAAACCTACCCCAAACCCATCTCACTTCCGCCTGTGTTCAAAGGCAGCCCGACGGAGTCCCCAGCTGTCAGGTGACCAGGTCAGCCTGAGGAGCCTGGGTGCAGACATGTGGGGTGAGGGGACCTGGAGGGGGCGGCAGCACTGCCGGGACCCCTGCACCCAGCCAGGCCCTGGCATCGCAGACCATCCTTGAGGGAGGGCCGCTGGCCAGGCAGGTGGGGGCCTTGAGTCTGAATTTCCCCGCAGGGCGAGACATGCTGGGGGCGGGGGCTCCTTTGCAGGTCCTCAGCCTCAGGTCTGAAACACAGCCTTGGGCCTGTGCAGTGGCCAAGACCAACACGTCTTGATGGAAAAGTCTCACTCTTTGATTTTGAAAGTGACTGCAGACAGAGGTGGGACTTCCAGGTTGTAGCTGATGGAACACAGGCCCCATGGGAGCCGGGAGTCATGCGGCAGCAAAGAGGCAACGGGAACTCAGCCCCAGGTCAGCCGTCTCCCTGCAGCCCCAGTGCCATCTGCAGGATGCTGTGTGGCTCTGAGTGACATAGTTTGGAGGGTTGCTGGCAGCCCTGAGCACCCCAGAAGAGGAGGTGGGGACCCTCACAGGAGACCAGACAGCCTCTGGGTAAGGCAGAGTGGGGATGGGCTGTCTGGAAGAGTGAGGCCTGGGTGGGCAGGGTGGGTCCTGGGGAGAGGCAGTATATTCCACGTGGCTACAGAGGCCAGGTGCAGCCTTGTGTTATCCTGCACCTGCAGGGCCATGAAAATGGCTGTCAGTCATAGAAACGGTGCCATCGGAGGCTCGTCGAACACCTCACTGTGTGTGGCATGGGTATGCCTGTGGGCCGCCACACGTAGGGGCCAACGTGTACAGAGGCAATCTGCCCCACAGATGCCTTCAACCCACAGGCTAAGATGCCACGTCGTCTGGGGCCAGGACCATCTGAAAGAGGGGGCACCCAGAGCAGTCACCACATGCAGAGGAAGAGTACGGGGCATGTGGCCTGCTCCTGTGTACCGTCCCTGCATCCTGCTTCTCTGTAGGCGGGGTCACCCACACTCTGTCTCCCTCTTAAGCCCTTTGGCTTGGGGTAAGACAGATCTAACCCTCCATCCACGGAGCACCGCCTCACTGCCCACACAGGACCGGAGCCACCTGAGCTGCAAAGTCCAGAGCAAGTGAAGGCCCAGAGAGTACAGTGATGACAGCCCTTATGGGATTGAATGTGGGCACCTCATAAACCGTAGTGCAGAGGTCCGTTCTGACCCCCAGCCCGTAGGAAGACTCAAAGTGTCCTTTCCCTCAAGGAACCCGACAGCTGCCTGGGAGTGTCAGGGCTCTTTAGAAACAGCCACGCCCTTTGCCTGCTCATGGCCACACTGGTTTGTACCCCGGTGGACTTGACTTTCCACCTCCAAGCACCAGTCTCCCTGAGATGAAGCCCCCAATATCTACTTCTGGGTCTGCTTGCTGCCGACTGCCAGTTCTGTCCTCCTGAATAAAGACTCTCATCCTGACCTGGGCTGGGCTCGGGGCTGCCTTTTTCCTGCCGCCCCATCCAAGGCTGAGTGGACTCGCCCATCCTCCACACATATTTCCAGCAGGTCTCATCACTCGCTGACTCAGTGACCCAGGAAACAGGCCCGACTGCCGAAAGAAAGTGGGGAGGGCATGAGTGGGAGCCAGAGGAGGAGAGAGGGATGGGAGAGGTGCTGGGGTGCATTGGCCAGGAAGGATGACCAGGCCATGCCCGGGTTCCGGGGGTCTAGGGATGAAGCGTGGGAGGGAGCAGGGAGGGCAGGAAGCTGTCCGGCAGCTCTGCATTGCAGGAAGCGTGTTTAGGTGTGACCGGTTACACATGCATGATTATCAGTGTTTCCCCCTGAAATCCTCCAAAAGATATGTTTACATCTAAACCCCTGGAACCTGTGAATGGACCCTACTTGGGAAAAGTCTTTGCAGATGTAATTAAGTTAAGGATCTGGAGATGAGACCATCTGGATTTGGGGTGGCTCCTAAATCAAGGACGGCCTTACAAGAGAAGGGCAGTGGGAGATTTCAGAGAACACTGGGAGATGACAGAGGCAGGGATGGGAGTGACGTGTCCACAAGCCAAGGAATGCTGGAGAGCAGCCTGGAACAGGCGCTCCCTCCGAGCCTCCAGAAAGAACCAGCCCCGCCCACACCTTGATTCAAATTTCTGCCCCCAGAACTCTGGGAGAATCCACTTCTGAAGCTATCAGTTTGTGGTTGTTTGGTGCAGCAGCCACAAGGAACAAATACAGCCCCCGAAAGTGACATCAAAGAAGGAATGACCTGTGAATGCGCAGGAGAGGGGGACAGGGGCAGCCTGCAGACAGGAGACCCTGTGAGGCTCATGGAAGATGAGTGGGGAAGGGTGGGCAGCCCCTCGGCTGAACCTCGAAAGAGGAAATGCAGCAGGGAGGCCTGAGTCGGGGAAGCTGGACCAGCAGGCTGGTCCCAGAAGGACTGGGGACTGGCAGGTGACAAAACCTCTAATTCTGAGGTACAGCATGGGGCTAAAGCTGCAGGACCGGCTGATGATCTGCAAGAGACACGGGGAGACCCTCTTCCTAGCTCAGAGTTGATGACCACTCTCCCCCACTCCTGCCAGCTGGAGGGGTCCAGGAAGGGTCTGAACCCCAGCACAGCCTTGTGGAGCAGGTGGGAATGGAGGACTCGGGGTGACTCTAGGAGGCTCCCCACTTCTCCCCTGCTCAATGCCAGCTGCTGGAAGCCCAGCCTTGCCTCTCCAGGCAGGAGGCTGGAGAACCCCTCTCAGCTTCCGTTATAAATGGACACCCGGGACAGACAGGCCAGAACAAACACACAGAAGAAGCACAGAGGAAGGGGGAGAAGCACGTCAGAGGTGCCGCCGGAGAGAAGCTCCCATACCTCCGAGATACAGCGACCGGCGAAAAAGAGAACTGAGAATTCCAGTGATCTCCTGTGAATTAGGAAAACCATTTCTTGAATGGAAACTTTAGTAGCAGTTTTGGAAGATGAAATGAGAGAAATCATACGCAGCAGGGCAAAAAGACAAAGAGAAGAAGAAAAACAAAACAAAACAAAACAAAACAAAACAAAACAAAAAGATTTGAGCACGAATCCAGGAAGTCCAATGAGGAGTCCCAGAAAGACAGAACAGAGAAAAGCAGGATTCAGAGCTGAGAGGCATGCGTTTCCGGGTTGAAAGGGCCATGGGAATGTCCTACACCGAGAAGGAAAGGAGGAGGGAGGGAAAGAAGGAGGAGGGAGGGAAAGAAAGAAGGAGGAGGAAGGGAAAGAAAGAAGGAGGAGGGAGGGAAAGAAGCACTGCAGGAGTGGCACACGCGGTGCTGATGTCGAAGCGCCAGTTCTAGGATGATCGAGGGGGCTAGTAGTTATCGTCCCTCTCCCCTGCCCAGGTTCTGGGCAATTTGGAAAAATAAAACAACAGAGAGGCGGGAGAGGGCTAAGTGTCACCTTTACAATCAGTGGAGGCTCAGCCAAGGTCAAGACCGTCTGTGGCAACCCAGTGGGCCTGCCCTGGGGTACCCAAGCCCACTGCCTTGCCCACCCACCCAGGCTCTGGGACTAGAAGGAAGGTGGGGTGGGCTGCAGGAGCCCCGTGATTCTTTCTGAATCTCCAGGGACATCACTGCTCCACGCTGGAACAGAGAGAGCCATGGCGGGGAGACAGGCTATGGGAGACCCCACTGTGGAAACAGGAGTGGGGAGAAGCCAGGCCCCCTGGCCTCAGCAAAGCCTTGGAACCGCATTGGACGGCCCCACCGCAGTGCTGGGACAGTGGGGTTGGGGTGATGCCTTCCACCCCCGGTGTGTGGACCCAGGTGTCCTGTCAGTTGTGAGTGCCGAGTAAAGACATCAGCAGCAGCCCCAGGCCTCCCCACCAGGGCCTGGCAGGACACCAGGCCCACGCCCAGATTCCGTGGTTTGAGGGAAGTTTGACCAGAGCTATGTGCGAGGTGTGGCAGAGTGTGGGGTGCTCACAGCCAGGGTGGCAGCAGGTGGTGAGCTGCCACTGGGGAGGCGTGGTCGATGGAGCCCAGGACACTCTGTGGAGGCTCCTGAGGGCTGTGCATGACAGAGAAGGACAGAGCCAGGGAAGAAACTCTGGCTTGCTCTCCTCCCACCCACCGGTCCCCTTCCACAGGCCCCCACTGAGCCCCAACCAGAGGGGAGGGAGCCCACAGACACAGCAGGTGGGCACAGAGCAGGGATCTCCGGGGCAAATGGGAGAAGGTCAGCTCCCCTCCCCGCTGTCCTGGCTCAACAAGCTCCCCCAAAACTAGGGCAAAAACCAGCAGATCTGGGGAGCAAACGATCCCACCTAGACAGCAACATCCCAAGCAGGGTTCCAGAGTGGCCTTGGGCAAACCAGCCCAGTGTTGGGTGCGTCACCAAAGAAATGTCTGCAAGGAAAGCAATGGCGCTGAGAGACCCCGGGGGTTTTGTGTGGGTTTTTTTGTTTGTTTGTTTGTTTGTTTTGTTTTGTTTTGTTTTAAGCAAAGTTTGGAGCTGAATTAGTGAAAAGTTCATAAAAAGCCACACACGCACCAAAAAAAGAAAAAGAAAAACAGGAAACAAACAATGATTAACTTTAAGAAAAACGAAAAGTTTGAAAAGGAAAGAAGTGGGATTACAGTGCAGTATGTGATTTCGTTTTGTGAACTGTGATTGATTGTATCACACAGCTATAACTATGGAAACAGTAAAACAGATTCAACTATTAATTAAGACTTAATTTTGAGAGGCACACGAGGAGCAGAAACAGGTGGGAAGGTGGATGTTAAAGAGCTGAGTCCTCAGCTCCAGGTGTAGAAAGACAGAAGATCATGTCTAGAACTGAA
>NW_011332691.1:300000-415308 GCF_000001405.40 Homo sapiens
ATCAGGTCCCAGGCCAATGCCCATGTATTCCATCTGTAAGTGGGTGCATGCTTTGTCAGAGGTCCGGAACTTTGGACCCTGAAACTGGCAAGTTTTGGGAGGTGGAGGGAAAGTAAAGTTAAAGAATATATGTCAATGCTTTGCAAAGAATATTATTTTTCTTTCTACCAGGAGGAGACATCACCTCAGAGGACAACCTAATAAAAAAAAATTCTTTCCAGGGAGGACTACAAGAAAAAGCAGGGTTTTCAGAGCCAGGTAAAGAGAATCCCCAAAGAAACCCTTCACCTAGATCACAGTATGGCCTGGGGCCTCCTGCATTCAGGCTAAGGCTGCTAAAGATTTTTTGATAAGAAAAAAACAAAGAAGAGATAGCAGAATTGTAGGAGACGATTAACTCAGGGGCAAAGTGACAAGGAGGAAAAGGAGGGTTAGGGTTAGGGTTGGCCATTAGTACTGGCAGTAGGTTACAGGAGGTTGGTCATTACTGATGGCCAAGCACTGGCCATTAGTAACAAGGAGGCCTTGGCGAAAGTCTAGCATAGGATGAGAAACTTGGAGGCCGAAGGTTAAGTTGCCAAACCCGGGTGGTGCACTGAAACGTAGCCTAAGTGAATCAGGAAAGCCCCGACCTCTGAGTAATCCACATTAGGCAAGAGCACTCCTGAAAAGCTGTATGCGAATCCAATGCTGGTCAAGGGAGACATGGTGTACAGTCATGCATCGCTTCGTGAAAAGGCTATGCTCTGAGAAATGCATCATTGGGCAATTTCATCATTGTGCAAGCATTTCAGAGTGCACTTACACAAACCTAGGTGGGAGAGCCTCCTACACACCTAGGCTAGATGGTGTAGCCTGTTGCTCCTAGGCTACCAACCTGTACAGCACGTAACTGTCCTGAACGCTGCAGGCAATTGTAATACTGTGGTAAGTATTTGTGCATCTAAACACAGAAAAGGTACGGTAAAGACACTGTGTAAAAGATAAGAAATGATACACCTGTATAGGGGACTTACCATGAACGGAGCTTGCAGGACTGGAGGTTGCTCTGGGTGAGTCATTGAGTGAGTGGTGAGTGAATGCGAGGGCCTACGACATTACTGTACCCTACAGTAGACTTTATAGACACTGTACACTTAGGCTATACCAAATTTATTTTAAAATACACTTTTCTTTCTTCAATAATTAACCTTAGCTTACTGTAACTTTTTAATGTCATAAACTTTCTAATTTTTTTAAAGCTTTTTGACTCTTTTATAATAAGACTTCAAACACAAACACAGGCCGGGCGTGGTGGCTCACGCCTGTAATCCCAGCACTTTGGGAGGCTGAGGCGGGCAATCACTTGAGCCCAGGAGTTCAAGACCAGCCTGGCCAACATGGCAAAACCTCGTCTCTATTAAAAAATACAAAAATTAGCTGGGTGTGTTGGCGCACACCTGTAGTCCCAGCTACTTGGGAGGCTGAGGCACGAGAATTGCTTGAACCCAGGAGGTGGAGGCAGAGGCTACAGTGAGCAGAGATTGTGCCACTACACTCCAGCCTGGGTGACAGAGTGAGACTCTGTCTCAAAAAACAAAACACAAACACAAACACATTTTTCAACTGTACAAAAATATTTTCTTTCTTTGTATTCTTATTCTATAAGCCTTTTTCTATTTAAAAATTATTTTTTTTTAAACTCTTTAAACAGTTTTTGAGAGGGTGAGGTAGGAGGATCACTTGAGGCCAGGAGTTCAAGATGAGCCTGGGCAACATAGCAAGACCCCACTCCCTGCAAAAGGAAAAAGAGCCAGGCATGGTGGCTCATGCCTGTAATCCCAGCATTTTGAGAAGCCAAGGTGAGAGGATCGCTTGCAGCCAGGAGTTTGAAACCAACTTGTACAATATAGTGAGACCTTGGTCTCTATAAAAAAAAAAATAAAAATTAGCTGGGCATGGTGGCTCCAGTATGTCATTCTAGATACTGGGAAGACTGAGGTGGGAGGATCACTTGGGGCCAGAAGTCTGAGGCTGCAGTGGGCCATGATTGCTGCCCTGCCCTCTACCCTGGGTGACAGAGCAAGACCTTGTCTCAAAAAGACAAACAAACAAAAAACTAAAACCAACCAAACAGACAAAAAAACAAAGACACAAACATACATGTTAGCCTAGGCCTGCACAGGGTCAGGACCATCAAGATGTCACTAGGTGATAGAAATTTTTCAGCTCTATTATAATCTTAGGAGACCACCATCGTATATGCAGTCTATCATTGACTGAAAAGTCGTTGTGTGGCACGTGACTGTATACTCAAAAACAGTAGATAGCTGCATTGGTTTGGGTTTCCTGAGAAGCAGCCCTTGAGACCAGGATCTCAGTGCAGGTGGTTTATTTGGGAGGTGAAACAGAAATGAGTAAGGAAGTGGAGAAATGAGACAGGCAAGAGCAGGCAGTTAATAAAGAGTGAGAAGAGTGAGTTACCACCCCACTACCACTGCCAGCAACTGGGGCTTCATCTCACGGGGATTTTTGCAGGGGCAGGGAGCCTGTAAAGACCCCTAAATTCCTAAACACAGGGAATTCTGTAAACAAATGATAGGATATGCTCTCAACAGAAAATGATGAAAAAACAAAAATAGATAATTTAATAAAAATTATTTATAAGCAATTTTTCACTGTAAACAAAACTTTTACTTATCTGTTCTTCCTCAGATTTCTCCATAGTGAGCACCCACAGATGACTTGTTTGATAAAAATGATAGACATTCCAAAAAACAAAACCAAAAAAGTACAACTCTAAAATATTTTAGGAGAATTTGCTAGGTAAAAAAAATGCTAAGGCAAATCCTGAAAAACAATGCTCCCCTCCAATAAGGGCCTCTTGGTTCCCTAGCTTGTCTTTGATATGAAAATGCAATTTTAAAAGAGGGGTGGAATATTTCCACATAGACAGCTGGCTGAGAGCCAGATGCACCTCTGCCTGATACCAAAGGAAGCCAGGTGTTTGCTGATGCCTGTGGAATCCAGGCACACACCCCCTGGCCACATCTTGTCATCCCAAGATGAGGCACTGCTCCTCAGTGCACCCCAGTCTGCGTGCAGCATCTGAAAAGTCAGGCTGGGGCCATTTGGCCCTGCCCTTCCCATCAGGCCCGCGGCCTTAGCAAGCTGGAGCCTGTTTGCCTAGACCTAGTGGAGTGGAGGCCTCTGCTGAGAGATCTGGAAGATCCTGTTGGGCAGGACCAACTTGATGGATGACCTGCTCATTGCCAAAGGAAGGCGGGGTGAGGGTGCAGATTCTCCTCCCCGAGACACCAAAACGTGCCCCAGGGGACCTTAGAAAATAACTGCTCTTCTCTCATACAGGGGCACAGAGTTGCTTCCTGTCAGATGGCAAATGGTAATCATGGTGGCTTTAAATATTCCCGCACAGCCTGGGGTGCCTGAAAGCATTTCAGAATCATGATGGGCAAAGCTGGAGGATACATTTTCCTTTCTTGTGCACCAGGTACGAAGACTCTCAGCTCCAGGCACAGCAGGAAAGTATGCCAAGTGCCTCTTGGCACTTCTCCTGGAAGCGTAAGGGGTCCCCTCCTTCATTCAGGCACCAACCTCCTTGCTCCCCACCCGCTAACTCTGCTATGGCCAGCCCAAACTTATCTTCTCTCCTGTTCACCCATACATCATCTTCCCTTCCTCTGAAAAACATTCCATCAAAGTTCACATTGCTCATTGCCTAGGGTTCAGCTTAATATTCATGGAGAAAATGATCTAATCAAACTACGTATTAACGAATAAGAACACCTTAATGTACTCAGCCAAAGGTATGAATCTCAAACAGCTGAATTTTACCATTTGGTGGCAGGCCAGTGAGCAGAGGCTTGTTTTGCTGAATGCCTTCCTAAAAAAAATCCCAAACCAGAACACCTAGCAACTGGAAATTGGCACTGCCCACCATAATTTCATAGGGAATATAATCTGTTAGAATGTTAAGGGAACTTGAAGACTACATCATAAAAATAGTAAACATGATTTGAGTAATTTTTATGCTGTACAAATTATCTTTTTTTAATCCATGCAATAGATATTCTCACCCCATTTTATAGATGCAGAAGCTGTGGCTTAGAGAGGTTAAGTAACCTTCCTATGACCACACTGCAACGGAGGAAGTTGAGATCTGAACCCTGAAAGCCTGGCTTTAGTTTGAACTCTTCTATGCATTACTGTCTTCCACTTCTTTTTGCAGCCTAGAACACTGAGATTGTATGAGGATTGGAGATACAGAGACTGATGAGTGAATGAGCAAGGCCAGAATCTTCCTACTTCTTGGCACTAGTTCTCTTTTATCAGAAAACAGGAAGTGCAATTCTATGAGTCACAGAGGTCAGAAGCAGGTAGGGAGAGCCTGACAATTACTTCTAACTAATTGGTATTCAATGTCTTTTAACCATGGCAACCTTTGTTCAAGTGAGATCTTACTTGGAAGTCCAATATATTCTGCAGATAAAAGTGAGTTCCTCGGGTTAAAGGTGCGAGAGGATAGCCCAAACTTTAATCTTGAACCTACAGTGGCCCCTGTGGCTTTTCCATGGAAGCCCTAGGCCTTGAGAAGCAGATCTGGAAAATCACTCCTTGTTGTTGATTGCAAAAATTGCCAAAATGCATTGCAGCTTCTCCCATCAAGAGGCAGAGCTATTTTCTCTACTCCCAGAACTGGGGTGGGCCTTGTGACTTGCTTTGACAGAATGCAGCAAAAGTGACATGGCGCCAGTTCTCAGTTGACGCCTCAAGAGACTTCATGCTCTTCTGTGCTTGCTCTTGGAACCCTTCCACCACCAAGTGAGCAAGCCCAGGTTGGCCTGCTGGACGGTGACAACCTCAGTCATCTCAGCCCAGCTCTCATTGTGCGAGAGCAGGATGGCCTGCTGGATGGCGACAGCCCCAGTCATCTCAGCTGAGACCGTCGCAAGCCAACCTGGCAGCTGATCATGCCCATCTGAGACCAGACCAGCCCAGTACAGACCCAAAGGACTGCCTGGCTGAGGCTGGCCAAATTGCTGACCTACACAATTGTGAGCTAAAGGTGAGTAAATGATGTTTTAAGCTATCAAGTTTTGGAGTCATTTGCTTTGCAGCAATAACTAATGGATATAGTTCCCTAATAGAAGAATCTCAAAATGACACCAAGGTCTTCCCCTCCGGTCTCCAAATGTGGAGGAATGGCACAGCAAGGAGTCCCTCCCCAGACATCCCCTATCCCCAATCCTAACCCAAGGCCCCCAAATCCACCTCTGCCTTAGGATGTAATGGGCAAAGGAGAGGCATCCCCAGCTGCCCTTATTCCAAACAGAATGACAATCACAGAGGGGAAATGAAAGACTCCTTTACATGATCCTACAAGAGCCAAACTTCCATCTAAAGAATTCAGTTGGAAATCCACTTGTGTGCAGCTGTTTCCTGCAAGTGCTTCAAGGCTTGTGGCATCCTCAAAGCCAGGGGTTGGGGGAGAAGCAGAAGGAAGAAGGGGAGAGGGCCTTAAAGGTTAAACCTGGCACATTAAAGCTGCTCAGAAAACACCAAAAAAATGTAAATGAACATTTTTAGCTGCAGTGGGAGAAAGGCAGCCCCGAGGCCGGGGGTTGATCTTTCAGAGTATCGGGCACACCGCAAAGCTGTCTCCATTTATTTACTTCTAATTGAAAGCTGGCGTGCTGAGGGTTACTCCACCCAGGCGTGAAGCGTAGCCATCCGTGAAAGATTTCCCAAGACCTCTCCCTCTGCAGAAGCATCCTTCATGTGCTTGAAAGGGAAAATGTCAAGGGGGCACTAAATTAAAACTCAGTTTTGTCTTTGAAAAATAGATTCAATCCTCAGTAGGACTTGGTTGGAGAGATACTAGCATTAGCATAATTTCTCAATGCATTTTATAGGCCAGTCAGAAAAAAAGGATATTCAGAAAATCTACCAGGAAAAAAAAAAAAGGTTTCATGGGGGGCCACACATGCTATTTTTCACAGAGAGAGACTCCTGGGACTCGTGGTTGACAATGGGTGGTTTTCTCGGTGAAATTTTACCTCTTCAGGGATGGTTTCAACACAATTGGTCAGCTGGTGGTAAATGCCATCCAAGAAAAATAAGTTGGCTGGCTTTCATGACTGTCATCCATATCCAAGTTCATTAGTTCACTCACTCATTCACTCCCTTCATGGATTCAGCAAACACTTATTGAGTCCCTGTGACGTGCGAGGCCCCGTGCTGGCTACTGGGCATACAACGGTGCCCATGACAGCCCACTCAACGCCTACAGTCTACCGGGAACGAGAGACAAGCCAGCGTGTTAAGAGAGTCCTCCATCTATGTGAGAGTACCCTCTGGAAAGCCTTCTGTGAGTCAGTTTTGCACATAAGCCAGATGGATTAAAACTCTGGCCCATTCAGTGGGTGCCCGTCAAGCAGCATTGGAAACATGTGAGCTTGCATGTGGCTGCCTACTTTGCTTCCTGCCTTTCTTCTTAGGCAAACTTTATCAATAGTGAATAAAGACTGGAGTCGGGCAGACATCCATCCAAATGCAGCCTCCATCTTACTATTGATACAGTCTCGGGCAAGACACCTGACTCTCAGAGCCTCATGTTGCTCATTGGTAAAACGAGGACAACAGCAGTCCTATGGCAGAAACCACCTGCCTCATCTTAATTTCCCTTTTTTTTTTAAGGAACAGAACCTTGGCATTACTAAGCACTGCAGTGAGCCTGGCCAAGAGACTACCTTGACCAGCCCACCTCATGGCTAGGTATGGCCATGAGAGCAATCTCTGGCCCATGAGATATAAGCAGAGTTGTTGGGTGGGATTTCTGAGAAAGTGTCATAAGGTGGGATTTGTTAAGCTGGCACTTAAAACAATTTTTTTGGCCTTCCTCCCTTCCTTCATAGTCAGAAATGTAGACATAATGGCTGGAGCTACAGCAGCCACATTGGAGCATGAGGTAACCTTGAAGATGGAACACCTGCACTATAAAACAAAAAGAGCACAAGACTGTGATGACCACAGAGCTACTATTAAGCCCATGGCTACCAAGCTCCCGGCTTTTTGTGTGTGTGAGAAAAATTATCTTTTGAATCATTGTTATTCCTGGTTTCTTTCTAAAAACTAAAGGCAATTCCTAATACAAGTAGTCATACATGTTACTGTGGTCGTTGAATGAGGTCATTCATGTAAAGTGCTTAGCCCAGCACCTGGCCCACAGTGAGCACTTAGGGCAGAAGAGTTCACATTGTTCTTATGCACATGAAATATTTACATCGTCTTAGTCAGCTCGGGCTGCTGTAACAAAATACCATAGACTAGGTGGCTTAGGCAATAGATATTTATTTCTCACAGTTCTTAAGGCTGTGAAGTCCAAGACCAGGGCGCTGGCCCATTTGGTTCCCTGGTGAGAGGTCTCTTCCTAACCTGCAGATAGCCACCTTCTCACTGTGTGCTCACATGGTGGAGAGAAAGGGAAAGAACTCTGCTCCCTTTTCCTATTCGTAAAAGGACACTCATTGCATCAGGGGGACCCCACTCTCATGACCTCATCTAAATCTAATCACAGTCGGGCACAGTGGCTCATGTCTGTAATCCCAGAACTCTGGGAAGCCAAGGCAGGAAGATTGCTTGAGCCCAGGAGTTTGAGACCAGCCTGGGCAACATGGCAAACCCCATCTCTATCAAAAAATTCAAAATTAGCCAGGTGTGGTGGCACCATGCCTGTGGTCCCAGCTACTCAGGAGGCTGAGATGGGAGGATCACCTGAGCCCAGGGAGGTCAAGGCTGCAGTGAGCTATGATTGCACCACTGCACTCCAGCCACAAAATGAGAGACTGTCTCAAAAATCAAACAAATAAATAAAATAAATCTAATCACCTCCCAAAGGCCCCACATCAAAATATCATCATTTTGGAGGTTAGGACTGCAATGTATGAACTTAGGGGAAATACAGACTTTCAATCTACAACATCCATGGACCCTACCAAAAGGGTGTATCTGAGTTTGCTTAATTTACATTAGTACAAGTGGGAAACCTCCTGGGTTATAGTTGAGTCCTGAGGGTTATGATAAGGGGAGATGAGAATCCTGGAGGACTAAGAGTGTAATGTGATGACTGGGCATTGGAGATTGTGCCCATAACCCATTCTTTCTGGCGGCACTTCAATGGGAGGGTCAGTCATTCATCAAAGCCATTCCTAACTCATGAAAGTAAAACCACAACATCTGATTAAGAAAAGAAGACCTCGAACTATGAAATTGATGGTCGAACCACATATCCATGATGCATGTGATTTTTTGCTTTGTAAATAACAAAATAACTACAGTAGGGACTGCATTGAGTGTGTTCCAGGCACTGTCCTGGGTCTTGTCGAGGGAGTGAATCAGTCAGCAGCCAGCAGAAGCAGAGGGGTGCACTCGAATTGGGAGCTTTGAGAACGGCTCAATAGAGAGACCATTTGCAAAGGTGTGGGTGAGACGTAGAGAAAACACAGGTGACAGTGGAGCTGACAGCCTCTGGGACTGAAGCAACAAGGAGACAAAGCCTTTACCAGGGCCTTTGGAGAGGGCTCCCCACCAGGAGCTAGGGCCTTTGGTGACAAGACATGGCCAGCTCACGCTGACCCCAGCAGAGTCACCGCTCTCCTGCTCCAGCCTCATGTTTTTCATAGGCTGAAACCTACCAGAACCAGAGGGCAGTGGAGCCCCGTGACCACAACCCACCTGAGTCAGATCAGCCTCCCAGACACTGAGCAGGGTCAAAAAAAGTGGAGAGTGACTGGGTAGGGGGAGCATAGGGCTTTATTCACTTAATCCTCAACAACTACCTTATGAATTAGGTACCATTATTACCCCCCCTTTTACAAATGGGGAAACTGAGGCCCAGAGAGAGCCATGAAACCATTTACATATTTAAAATATATAAATTTGTAAAGAAGTACTGCTTAGATCCTCTAAAATGAGATGATTTCCTGTTACCCAAATTATTGGAAGTAAGCTATTTCTATTGAGTTGTAAATACAAATCTATATTAGAGTTTAAGATACATGACAGCTCATGCCCCCATGAGGTGCATATTCTGATGATTTCAGTTTTACTGTTGAAGAACCAGAGGTTTAATGAGGTTGAACTAGTTGACTTCTAGGATCCTTTGAAATCAGAATAGACTCTAATGCAGTCACTACTTTAACCATTACTTTTGATTTGTAAAAACAGAACTATAAAAAGTCCCCACCACTAACAACAAAAATTTGTGCTGAAATAACAAAACTCTTTCCATTGAAATTTACCACTGCAGTAAATCCTTCCACTGAGTGACACTAAGGTGATTGACATCAGTGAGAATAGCACCAGCAATCGAAAATCAGGGGCAAATATGTTCTGCCCCTCTTAACTGTATTCCTGGCCATCACGCCTAAAACTCCCACTTTCATCCCTCCTCTGCATTCTAAGACTGAAGTTTCTAGGAGAAAAAGAAAAGGTTTTCCTGAAGCAATGATATCTCACAGGGTTATGGGCCGTGGTATTAGTTGAGATTCTGCCCAGAACAAACTGAAGGAAATCCAACTCAGACTGGCTAAAGCTAAAAAGGCAATCTGTTAGCTCATGTCCTAGGATAAGGCTGGCTTCAGGTATCCATTGATTCAGGGCTCAAAGGGTGTCACCAGGAACCAGCTTCCCTCTCTGTGTCTTGACAGTACTCGCTTGATGTTGGCCTCATTCTAAGCCTCATGTAGTTGCCAAGTGGTTGCCAACAGCTCCTTGGACCACACTCCATCCAGCATCATATCCAGCAGAAAAGCAGGATTGTACTGCTTCAGTAATTCAAATGAAAATCCTAGCATTAAGTCTCTTGGGCCCTGATTGGCATGGTGTGGATCACAGGGCTACTATGGCCAAGGGAATGGAATATCCCAGTGGGGGCAGGGTTTGACCCTCTCCTACACCACAAGGACTGAAACTGGAAAAGGGATGATCCTATAGAAGCACGAGGGCTGCTGCCAAAAGAATGGAGAAAGGATGCTGGGGAAAAAACAGCCCACGTCTGCCATAGTCATCAATATCTTATCAACAGTCATCAATACCAGAAATATGGACCAGGGAACCTCCACAGCCCAGAAACTGGCTACAGGAATCCCAAAGTTCTCCAAGCCACAGAATTTGGGGACTTGTCAGTAATCTCCTCCCACTCACCTCCCCCAGCTGTTTCCACCTATCCCGACCTTTTTAATTTGGAGAAGGGGCTACAAAGGTGGAAAATGTGCCTCCCAACACAATCCCCTTCAGTTTTCCACTCTGTTCTTAGAGGATTCCTCCCCTTGTCCCTTGCATCTGAGCTTGAATATGATGCTTTCCCTGAAGCCATCTCTAATAAAATCCATACCTTCCCACCTTCCCCAAGAGTCAAAAGTCCCTCTTTTATGTACTCACAAAATTTGTACACACATCATATTGAAAGTATTTGCACACCTGTCCCTTATATTCCGTACTCACACATGCTCACTCCACTCACACCTAACCAGATTAGAAGCTGTTTGAGGACAGAGGTTTGCTTTCGTTCTTCTCTGAGCCCCTAATGTGCAGCATAACATCAGGGATAGTATTCAGGAATGAATGACTGAGTGAATGAATGAATGAATGAATGAATGAATGAATGAAAACTTTCTACAGCTCTATACCATTAAACAAACATCACAGCATGCATTAGGACATTTAGTCAATCAACAGTATTTAGTAAACTCCTATTGTGTAGACAACAGACACAAACGATTGAAAATAAAATCAGTAAAAGGAAAAGCAATGGTATATGTATCCTGCGCATTTCAAAATAGCAATGCCCTGAAATAAAAAGAATGTGCTTTTTTTTTTTTTTTTTCTTTTTGAGACAGAGTCTCACTCTGTTGCCCAGGCTAGAGTGCAGTGGCACAATCTCAGCTCACTGCAACCTCCACCTCCCGGGTTCAAGCAATTCTCCTGCCTCAGCCTTAGTAGCTGGGATTACAGGTACACGTCACCATGCTCGGCTAATTTTTGTATTGTTATTTTTGTATTTTTATTTATTTATTTTTCTTTTGGAGACAGAGTCTCACTCTGTCACCCAGGCTGGAGTGCAGCAGCACGATCTCAGCTCACTGCAACCTCCACTCCACGGGTTCAAGTGATTCTTATGCCTCAGCCTCCTGAGTAGCTGGGATTACAGGTGTGCATCACCATGCCTGGTGAATTTTTTTTTTGTATTTTTAGTAGAGAAGGGGTTTCGCCATGTTGCCTAGGCTGGTCTTAACCTCCTGAGCTCAGGCAATTCGCCCACCTCAGCCTCCCAAAGTGCTAGGATTACAGGTGTGAGCCACCATGCCCAGACTAATTTTTATATTCCTAGTAGAGATAGGGTTTCACCAGGTTGGCCAGGCTGGTCTCAAACTCCTGACCTCAAGTGATCCACCCAGCTCAGCCTCCCAAAGTGCTGGGATTACAGGTGTTAGCCACTGTGCCCGGCTGTACATCCATTCTTGTGAGGGAGCTATACCCTCAGGAAGGGGAACGAGGGCCTAAAAGATCCCGAAAAGCCACCGTGATGTCTGGGGGAGGAAATGTGCTGGGTTTGTCCGCCAGGTGCAATGCTCAGCATGGTCTAGGGCGTATCAATGAGTTGTGAAAGCACAATTCAGAAATCAGATTTAAAAGACAGAGTCCTGCACTGGAGTCTTGACTTTGCCCCTTCCTATGGGATCTCAGTCAGGATATTCAACCTCTCTGGGCCTCCATTTTCTTGTTTGGAAAATGGGGACCATCACCCCATGAGCTGCCTCAGGCCTCCATTGACCCGCTATCCTTGATGTCTCTCTTCTTTTTCCCCCACACCTTCAATCTGTCAGCAAGCCCACCTGCTACATCTAGACTCCTACTTCCGAACTTCCATCTGGACCACCACTGTGACAAGAACCCCTTGAAAAATACTCAGTTCCTTAAGTTCTATTACCAAGCAGTGGAGTTGGGTGGGGCAGTGAGCTTCACTTCCAACACTCATCTGAGTCTGCCTGCGTCTGAGCCATGATAGAGAGGGAGAACCATACCCTGAGGTCAGCAGCAGCTTCCTGGACAGTTTCCTTCCTTCTTTATCCTGTCGCGGGTCTTTCAACCTCTTCCCTAGCCAGCCCCCAGAGCAATGGTGTAAACACAGAGTCAGACCCCAGACTCTCCTGCCTAAAACTCCAGGGGCTTTCCCCATGGCCGCAATGCCCTCCATGCTTAACCCAGCTTCCTTCCCCTCCATGTGGACTCCACTCCCCACCCACCTGCTTCCTCTGTTCCAGCTTGCTGGCCTTTATTCACCCCCTGCACGTGCCCAAGATGCTCCTATCTTGGGACTCTGCCCCCTCTTATTCCCTCTGCAGGAGAGCTCGCTCCTCCTGTATCTCTGCAGCTGAATCCTTGGTGTCATTCAGCAATCAGCTCAGCGGGGCCTTCCCTGACCACTCATTCTAAATTGAGCAGAGCACAAGCTCTCTGCCACCTTCCTGTTTTATTTCCTTCATAACACTGATTACTACTTCAAGCCATCTTACTCATTTGCTTAATTGCACGTGAACTAGAATGTAAGCTTCACAAAGGCAGGGATGAAATTTGTCTTGTTCACCACTTTGTCTCCAGACCCTAGAATAGCACCTGACACATAATAAATGCTCAATAAATATTTGATGAATGAAAGGAGGAAGGAAAGAAAGGAGGGAGGGAGGGAAGGAGCACCTCCCTCAAAGGGTGATTATAAAGACTCGAGCATTTACATAAAGCACATAGATCATAAATCCAGGCACAGACCGGGAACTGTGACTCAAGCCTGTAATCCCAGCACTTTGGGAGGCTGAGGTGGGCGGATCACTTGAGGTCAGGAGTTCGAGACCAGCCTAGCCAACATGGTGAAACCCTGTCTCTACTAAAAATACAAAAATTAGCCGGGCGTGGTGGCACATGCCTGTAATCCCAGCTACTTGGGAGGCTGAGGTAGGAGAATTGCTTGAACCTGGGAGGCGGAGGTTCCAGTGAGCTAAGATCGCGCCACTGTACTCCAGCCTGGGCGACAGAGCAAGACACCATCTCAAAAAATCAATCAATCAATCAATCAATCAGTCAATCAGTCAATCAGTCTAGGCACAGAGCCTGGACCCCAGGAAATACTTAATACATGGTCATTATTATTCAGTTTCTGGGATAGAAGAGTGGGTAGAATGCCCACATGCACACGCATGCACACATGCACACACACACGCACACACATGTGCACACACACACAAACACACACGAGAAAGGAAAGCAAAGAAAGTGCCCCCATTTTGCTTAGACTCACCTGGCTTGTGCAGAGAACATTTGAGGCCCCTGACTAAGCAGCATCCCCCTGGGCTCCCCTGGATCTGATGCTTGAACCCAGTTCAGACCCCAAGAGTTTGGAGTTCATTTTCTTTTGGCAAACCATCAGCTTTTCTTTTCTAAGGGAAAAAATAAAATACAAAAAGACACTCACATAACATCTTGGAGATCAAATGGCTCTTGGAAAACTGCATTTTGATGAGTGAGGGAATCAAAACCATATGGATTAAATTCTCCTTAGATCTCCTAGGGGGAAATGGGAGCAGGGAGCGGGGTTAGGGCAGAAGGGATGGTGGTGGAAGTCAGCATTGATTTTTACCAACACAAAGACGGTGTGGGAAGGACCCACCGAGATGTCTCAGGTCCTTCAAAGCAATTTGTTGACCACATTCCAACTGGCTCAACAAGGAGGAAAATGTGAACTTAAAAAAACACAAAACACCCTGTTTCTTTTCTCCTGGTTTCCCCTCCCCACATTGGCCCAAGCACTGGGGTCTTGTTAGTGACCAGTAAAAGGGTAGTGGATGGACATTAAGCTTGTATAATTTATTTCAGAAATCAACCTTTAAGTCTCTCCCCGAGGAAAGGGTCTGAAATATCTGCTGAAGCCAAATATTTGTAAACTAGTACTCAAGGTGAGTGTTTTTGTTTTGTTTTGTTTTTTGAGACAGGGTCTCACTCTGTCACCCAGGCTGGAGTGTGGTGGCATGATCACGGTTCACTGCAGCCTCCACGTCCTGGGCTCAAGCAATCCTCCCACTTCGGCCCCTCAAGAAGCTGGGATTACAGGCCTGTGCCACCGTGCCCGGCTAATTTTTTACAATTTTTTTTGTAGAGATGAAGTCTCACTATGTTGCCCATACTGGAGTGTTTGTTCATTTTTTATTTATTTATTTATTTATTTATTTATTTATTTATTTATTTATTGTTGAGACGAAGTCTCACACACTCTGTCACCCAGGCTGGAGTGCAGTGGCACAATCTCAGCTCACTGCAACCTCTGCCGCCCAGGTTCAAGAGATTCTCCCACCTCAGCCTCCCAAGTAGCTGGGATTACTGGCGCATGCCACCATGCCCAGGTAATTTTTGTATTTTTAGTAGAGATGGAGTTTTACCATGTTGGCCAGGCTGGTCTTCAACTCTTGACCTCAAGTGATCCACTCACCTCAGCCTCCCAAAGTGCTGGGATTACAGGTGTGAGCCACCACGCCTGGCCTTGGAGTATTCATTTTTTAATGGTCATGTTCCTATCTACATTCTACTAATGCTGGCATGTTGCAGAAGGCTGACTAGAAGAGACTGGATAAATAAAGCATGATTCATGCTGTCATTTGCTGCAAGAGGAACAAGTGCTTCCATTTTTTTTTTTACCTAAAGACAGAGAAAACTCAAAAGCTGTTTCCTCTGTTCTTCTCGTCCTGATCTCCTGGGAGCAGGTGACATACAGGTCACCAGTCTGTGTGACGTAGTGAATATAGATGGCATTTCCTGAGTGCTTACACTGTATGAGGTTTTGAGCATCATCTCATTTTATCCTGCCAAACCATTTCAAAGGGGTTGCTGTGTCTCATTGTACAGGCAAGAAAACTAAGGCACAAAGAAGTTAAGCAACTTAACCCAGGTCACACAGCTAGTAGTGGCAGAGCTGGGATTTAAACCAAGGGTTTTGTCAATGCCAGAGCCTATATTCCTAACCACTATTCTCCTCAAAATTTATCCTGTGCTTTGAGAATTTGTGTCTTTGCTTTTGCTGTTCCATGCATCCAAAAAGCCTTTCCCACTATCTCTATATTTCCTCCAGCCACCTGATGAAATATTCCCCACTCTCCAAGCTGGATTTTATGTGTCCATGAAGGCTTTTTGGAAACCCCCAAATCTGTTGAGATTTCTGCCACCTCTGAACTCCAAAATGTCTTGTGCTCCTCTGGGGCTGACCAACCATAATAAAGACAGTTTAGTATGATGGTTAGGAGCCCAAGCTTTAAATGAGACAAATTTGTTGTTGTCGGATTTTGTTTGTTTGTTTGTTTTTATTTTGAGACAGGGTCTCGCTCTGTCACCCAGGCTGGAGTGCAGTGGTGCAATCACAAGTCCCTGCAGCCTTGAACCCCTGGGTTCAAGCAATCCTCCCACCTCAGCCTCCCAAGTATCTGGGACTACAGGCTCACACCACCACACCATGCTAATATTTTTTTCTTATTTTTAGTAGACATGGTTGTGGCAGGGGGCTCTCACTATGTTGCCCTGGCTGGTCTTAAACTGCTGGGCTCAAGCGGTCCTTCCACCTCAGCCTCCCAAATTGCTGGGATTACAGGCATCAGCCACCAAGGCTGGCTGCCAAAGTTGCATTTCATCCTCTGCTGGAACACTATAAATTTACAAATCACTCCAAGACTCAGATTCCTCGTCTATAAATGTGGGAAGAATGAAACAACCCGGTGTGAGCAAGCAACACGCCAACTAACGCATGCAAGGCACAGAGCAAGAGTGCAATCCATGTCGGCTGCTGCTTTCTAGTTATTTGGGTGCTTGTTTGAGCTCCTTCACCTGGGTGTAAATTTTCCCAGGAAATGTAATCCTCACTGATTCAGGCAGTGATTGGATTAGGCATTTCACTGACTGAGTTTGGAGAGGAAGAGAGGAGAAAGGGGACTGGCGGGAGCAGTAGATGGAAGTAGGGCTCAGAGGGAATAAATGCAGCCAATGTGGAGTGAGTGCTTGTCATGTGACAGGGTTTCCAAGATGAATTAACCTCACAACCACACTGAGAAGTAAGTGCTGTTATTATCCCCATTTTACAGATGAAAAAACTGAGGCCCAGGGAGGCGGAGTGACTCGCCCAAAGCCATGTATCAGATAAGTGCAGAGTCAGGAATCGAACCCAGGCATTCTGGGATCCAAAGTCCAAGATCTTACCTGCTTACAGATCTTACAGATTGCCCCCCCCAAAGAGGGGATTTTTAAAGCTTTTAAGTAGTAACAAAACAAAGAGGCTGGGAGTGGCCAGTCTGGATTGACAGGATTTTGTCAGGCACAAATGTTGGGATAAGTTTGCCAGTGCTTTCCTGGGAGTTTATTCAATTCGGGGAAGTGGTAGGGACTCCCCCAAGAAGCCATGGCCACTTTGAGCTTGCACATAGACTTGATAAAAAAAAAAAAACAGGTAAAATGCTGATGGGGTAGGGAGGCTTCCTTGTCGGGAGGCGGGGGGTGGTCTGTGCATGTATTTTACCATGGCCATACATATTTTCCCATTTTTTCTTGAAGGGCTTGATTTAACACATACCTCAAGGTGAGAGTCAGTAAATAACTTCATGACTAAGGAAAACTTCAGAGACCTCTATGATGGTGAAACATCTAAATTAGTCCTAAAAAGGTGAGGGATCAAGGAAGGCTTCCAAGAGGAAGGGACAGCCAAACTGAAACCAGAGGCTGAGTCAGAGTCTGCTTACTAGGGAAGACACTTTGAGGAGGTTCACTCAACAGTCATTTCCAAACCTTTTCTCCCCTGTCCTCCCCTGTGGAGCCTTGAAGAGCTAAATAGCTCCCAGGGCCGGGCATAGTGGCTCACGCCTATAATCCCAGCACTTTGGGAGGCCAAGGTAGGTGGATAACCTGAGGCCAGGAGTTCGAGACCAGCCTGGCCAATATGGTGAAACCCCATCTCTACCACAAAATACAAAAATTAGACGGGCGCAGTGGCTCACACCTGTAATCCCAGCTACTCAGGAGCCTGGGAGGCTGAGGAGACAGCATCGTTTGAACCCAGGAGGTGGAGGTTGCAGTGAGCCAAGATCACACCACTGCACTCCAGCATGGGCTACAGAGTGAGACTCTGTCTATAAATAAATAAATATATATGTAAATAAATAGCTTCCCAATCTTCCTTGAAGCTAGAGGTGTCCAAGTTCAGCCAAGGTAACTCCAACAGAAGCCTGCTAGAGGTGTTTCTGAAAAAAATTTCACTTTTCTCATGAAAGAGACAGAAATGGCTGGCTTGGCCCTTTCTTGTTCTTCCTGCCTTGAAGATGGATGTAATGCCTGGAGCTGCAGCAACCATCTTATGACCATGAGGTAATCAAGGTTGGGACGAAAGATAAGAGAATGGCACAGAATCAGCCCTGGCATCATCATACTGCTGAAGCAATGCTAGTTACTGCCCACTTCTACATTTCTAATGTCATGGGAGGGTCTTATCTGCCAAAGAGCTGCAGGGAAAGAGCTGCTATTTGACTCACTTTAAGTCCGTTTTTCCCCAATCCCTTGCGATTGAAAACATTTCTAACTTATACACTAGGCAAAGTGGAAAATATAGATAGGGAGACACACAAGCTAACATGTTCCAGGCAGAGGGTCTAATGTGTGCAGAAATCTAGATGGTAGAAGACTGCGGCATTTTCAAAGAAAACAGAAGCAATGTAACCAAAGTTCATGTTGCTGGTGTGACTGGTGGCTAGTGGGTGCTGGCTGTGGCGAGCAATATGACTGGACAGTTACACAGGGGCTATGTCAGGCACGGCCTTGTACAACTTTTGAGTTTAGAACTTGGACATTATAACAATGGGGCACTATGGAAAGCTGTGTGTGTGTACACGTGTGTGTGTGTGTGTGTGTCTAATCAGGGTAGTGACTGGGACAAAGTTAAGTCCTTAAAAGATGCTTCTGGCTAGAGTTCACTTATTCAGTAAATACCTTATGAGCATGGGAAAGCAAACTGGTCCAACTACTTTGGAAAGCTGTACTGAAGTATCTAATACTATCTAATACTAAACATCCATTACCCTACAAGCCAACACTCTCACTACCAAGTACACACCCAAGAGAAATGAATGCACATGTCCACCAAGAGAGGAATCCAAGAATGCTCCTAGCAGCTTTATTCATGAGAGCCAAAAACCGGTCACAGCCGAAATGCCCATCAGGTCTAAGAGAGCTAAACTGTGCACATACTCTTGCACTGGAATCCCACACGGCAATAAATGAAAAGGATACATGATTGCTACATGCAACATGAGTGAAAATCATGGGCCTAGTGAAGGCTTCAGAGAAGAGTTCACATTTGTGTCAATCCAAGAAGCAGATGCCAGGATTAAATGTCCAAGAGCTGTATTAAGAGAAACACCTGAGAGGGAAGATGAGGAGGGAGCCAGGAGAAGCAGGAAATCATCAAACTGAGATGCAGGTCTGCCCCTCAGGAAGGAAAGAGGGAAAGAAGGAACATTGGATGGGAACATCTTAGACTACAGTGCAGGGCAGTTCTTTTTCTTTTTTTTTTTTTCCACTCTGTCACCCAGGCTGGAGTGCAGAGGCACGATCTCAGCTTACTGCAACCTCTGCCTCCCACGTTCAAGCAATTCTCCTGCCTCAGCCTCCAGAGCAGCTGGGATTATAGGCACCCACCACCACAGCAGGCTAATTTTTGTATTTTTAGTAGAGATGAGGTTTCACCATGTTGGCCAGGCTAGTCTCGAGCTCCTGATCTCAAGTGATCCTCCCACGTCGACCTCCCAAAGTGCTGGGATTACAGGCGTGAGCTACTGCGCCCGGCCTACAGTGCAGTTCTAAGGAAGGTTGGCAAGGCCCGTTGGGAGTCCTTGAGCCAAAATTGCTGTCAGAGGAGTTCCCTACCTCCTGGGAATGGGCCCGCACTAGCATCCCTGCTATACCCAGTCCAAGGGAGGAGCAGCCTGTGGGAAGATTTCCCTGCCCAAATGTTCTGATGGATTTTAGAGCCCAGCAAAACCGACTGTGGGTCAATCCCAGCAACCAGAAGTCTGGGAGATGCATTTTTATGGCCACCATAGCAGTGAACAGTTCCACACAGAAAGGTCAAGAACAGGCAAAATCAATGTAATGCAATGTGATAAAACCAGAATGGTGGTTATTTCCAGAATGGATTAGGGTTGGGGATTTAACTGAGAGAGGACATGAAGAGGCTCCCTGGGGTTGCTAAGAACATTCTATATTTGAGGCAGGTGGTGATTACATGAGTAAAAAAGTCTTTTGTGATATCACCTAAGGTTTGGACACCTTATTTACCTCCACGTGAAAAAATTTTTTAAAAGTATTTACTGAGCATGTGCTGCATGTCAAATGCTGTGCTCAGCCCTGGGCGCACTGGGGTGAAAGATGCAATCAGGGACACCATCTTCAAGGGACATGCAGCAAAGAGGATGCTCTAGAACATGAGACTAAGACAAGGAGGCTCATTAGGAAGCTGGCACGGCGTTCCCACTGAGCAGGGCAGCACCAGTGAGGCAGGACACAAGAGACTGCAGACATTCAAGTCCAAGACATATTTCTATAAAAATTCTTAAAAAGAGTAAAACAAAATGACTGACTTGCAAGAAATGGCAACTGGAGATATGAAAGAAAGTCAGGAACCATCGGAACTGCTTACAAAGGAAAATGTTTTTGGAGAGATCAATTACAGCAGAATTTCGTGCGGCTGTTCACTGCTGGGACCTCAGGGAGCCCTGAGCCCTGGGAATTACATCTTTCTGGAGTCAGGCTCATCTCCCCGGGCCCAGCAATCAGTTTCATTGGGTATAAAGGGATCCACTGGGAAATTATGTCTGATATTTTTCAAAGCCAGAAAGGGATTTCACACCTTTGTGAGGACTGCTGGAAGGCAGGTACAAGAATGTAGCCTCTCAGGGGAAGAAGTGCCAATTAGGGCCAATTAGAACTAAATTGGCCTGTCATTTGGCAGAAATGTGGAACAGCACCCTGTCCTGGAAAGCTGAGGATTTCTCCTGTGAGTTCATCTGCTCAGAGAAAGTTCTCTTTGGGAAAGTGCTTGAATTGATCACCCCTGAAGAAGGATCACTCATCCCGGACAAGGCTTGTGTTTTTCCAGTGCTTCTATTATCAGTGCTTCATTTCCAACCATTTTCAACTTGAGACTGTGATGTTGACTATCAGGCTCTGAAACAAAGCCTGTAAACATATATATATTTCAAACCAGCATGCTCTAAAATGTGAGTTCTCTGCGGCTTTTCAGAAGGAAGAATTATAAATAGAACATTTTACACTTATCTAACTTTTCCTAGTGTTTTTTTTTCTTTGAACTGTCCTATCTTTTCAGTCTGTGATAAATGGAAAAAAAAACAGTATTTATCTAATAATTTACTGTGTGGAGATGGCAGCATAATTGAGTCCCCCAAGTCAAGTGCTTTAGGAAAATTTCTATCAGGTGTCATCATGCTCCCTGGCCTAAGCTTTATTTAAACTCACTGGATCAATTTGAATCAATTTGACATGTACACACTTCAGGGCATGGTTAGTTTCAAATCAATTAAGCTCCTTATGACTTTATGATTAAGAACCCAAGGTTATAAAACATTAATATAAAAATCACAAATTATCAAGTGAAAAGTAAAATCTCCACCTAAGGTTTTGTACAGATCACCAGAATCATTATGTAAGCTTCATTAAACAAACAAGGTAAGAGTAATTAGGTGGTAAATTAAGTACAGTGGTTTCAAAAGACTCTAATTGGGACAAACTAGAGAAGTCCAGCACAGCCTTCAGCAGGATTCAAATCAACAGGGAACTTCTTAGAAGCCTGCCAGACCCTTGCAGCTCAGGAGCTCCACGTTTCTGTAAGAAGCAGAGAGTGGGGCCCAGACCTTGACTGACCCACCTTCCACCACCAAGAACAACATAAGGACCCATCTCCTTATCCCATCTCCTGCTCTGTGGCTGGAGCCAGCAGGCAGTCACTTGAAGCTATTTTAAAGATAGCAACGAAATGTGATTCTTGCTTTCTGGAATTACATGGAATTTTTCTCTACTGGTTTCTCTCCTGCCTTTGGAGCTCAGGGAAGGGAGATAAGAAGGAGGGAGTAAGTTAGTGTTTGCATTAAAGTAATTAATTAAAATTACGAAATTACAAGGGGGTATCTGCACTCCTGTGTTTATTGCAGCACTGTTCACAATCAGTGACCTAAGTGCCCATCAACAGATGAATTGATAAAGAAAATGTGGTACATATACACAATGGAATACTATTCAGCCATAAAAAAGAATGAAATCCTGCCATGTGCAACAACTTGGAGTAACATTAAGTGAAATAAGCCAGGCATAGAAAGACAATACCACACGATCTCCTTCATATGTGGAGCTCATAGAAGTAGAGAGTAGAATAAAGGTTACCAGAGGCTGGGCAGGGTAGGGGAGATGGAGGGAGGGGAAGATATTGGACAATGGGTACAGTGTTATAGGTAGGTAAGAGGAATGGGTTCTGGTGTTCTAATGCACAGTAAGGTGACTATAGTTAACAATAATGTATTGTATATTTTAAAAAAGGTAGACGGGAGGAATTTGAATGTTTTCACCACAAAGAACTGATGTGTGTGGTGATAAAAATGCTACATATGATTTGATCCCTACAGAACATATCCATGAAAGCTCACATTATACCCTATACATATATATGATTATGTGTCAATTAAAAATAAAATCTAAAAATAAATGATAATAAGGGCTTACCAAGTTCCAGATCATTTGATAAGTTAGATATAGATCATTTTCATTGGTCTTTACAACTCCCCCATGAGGATGAGGTAGGCACTCTTAATTCTCACTCTGTTTTAGAAATTGAAGCACAAAGAAGTTAGATAATGTCCTCAGGGTTACACAGCAAATAATAAGAACCCAGACCTGAGTGATTCCCAGGTTCTTCACTTCCAAATGGTAGAGAGGCCTCTATCATTTATTTATTTCAACACATATTAACTGGGGGCCTCTGCCTGCTCTGTACCAGGTGTTGTAGGGGCTAAAGATAATACAGTGTAAACAAAATAGCCAGGTTCCTGCCATCATGGGGTTTTCATTCCAGGGAAAAGAGACAACTGATAAGCAAATAAACAAACCAACAAACAGAGTGGTAATGCTCTGCAGAGAATATTTAAAGGGTAACATGATAGTAACTGGTGACTTTATTCATTGGATGGTCACCTCTTAAGAGATGGCATGTGAGCTGAGATGTGAATGACGAGACGATGCCGGCAATGCTGAGATCAAGGAGGAGAAAATCCCCGCCAAGGGGCAGCAGGTGCAGGGGTCCCAAGGAAGGAATGAACTGGTCACGAGCAAGGAACAGAAAGAAGGTCAGGCCTGCAGATTCAGGATGGCCACATCTTAGTCTATTTGCCACTCCCCCCACCTCTTTGACTCTGGTTATACCATGTTACTTGCTTTGACCAGTAGAATGCAGATGTAGTAACATTTCAGCTCCACGCTAAGGCCTTAAGAAGTCTGGCAATTCCCAATTTCACTCACCTGGATTCCTGAGCCAGCATGTAAAGGGATCCAGAGACAAGGTGGAGAGAAAGAGATGTCCAGGTGTCCTCCATGTGAGAGAGGTTGCTCCAGTTCCTGCAAAAGTCCAGGCCAAATGAGGCCACGAGTCACCTCCACCAACATCAGAGTAGAACAGAGATGAACCTCCCAGCTGAGCTCCACCAATTCACAGAATCATGAGGAATAATCCACAGTTGCTGTTTCAAGCCACTAGGTTTCAGGATGGTTTGTCTTGCCGCAGTAGATCATTAAAACAGCCAGTGTGGCCGAAGTTCAATGGAGCAAAGGGTGGTGTGGTAGATGATGATGCTGGAGCGGTTGACAGGGGCTGATCAGGCTGGGCCTGTAAGCCAGCATATGCAGTGAGGATGGATTTCTTTTCCTTCCTCCCTCCCTTCCTTCCTTTTTTCCTAACTTTCTTCCTTTCTTTCTTTTTTTTTTTTTTTTTGAGACAGGGTCTCACTTCGTTACCTAGGCTGGCACACTGTAGCTTTGACCTCTTAGGCTCAAGTGGTCCTCCCACCATGGCCTCCCAAGTAGCTGTGACTACAGGTGCATGCCTCCACATCTGGCTAATTTTTAAAAATTTCGTAGAGACAGGGTCTCACTATGTTGCCCAGGCTGGTCTCAAACTCCTGGGCTCAAATGATCCTCCTGCCTTGACCTCCCAAAGTGCCAATGAGCCACTGCACCCAGCCAGCAGTCAGGATTTTATCTGAAGTGTGATTAGGAGCAATCAGGTTTAAGCAGGTGGCCGGGCACCGTGGCTCACGCCTGTAATCCCAGCACTTTGGGAGGCTGAGGTGAGTGGATCACCTGAGGTCAGGAGTTTGAGGCCAGCTGGCCAACATGGTGAAACCCCATCTCTACTAATAATACAAAAGTGAGCCGGGTGTGGGGGTGGGCACCTGTAATCACAGCTACTCAGGAGGCTGAGGCAGGAGAATTGCTTGAACCTGGGAGGCAGAAGTTGCAGTGAGCCAAGATCGCATCACTGCACTCCAGCCTGGGCGACAGAGTGGAAAAAAAAAAAAAGAAAGTTTAAGTAGGAGTGTGACATGATCTTATGATTTCTATATTTTGTAAAGCTTATTCTGGCTGCTGCATGGGGAATGATTCGTAGGATGATCAGAGCAAAAATAAAAGCAAGGAAACTTCAGTCAGGTAGCTGTTGTGGTAATGTCAGCAAGAGATGATGGCTAATTGGACCAAGGTGGTAGCAGTGAAAATTCGGTGAACTGATTCATGTTGTTTTGGAGATAAAGTCGAAGTCAGATCTTGCTAGATGGAATGTGTTAGGGAAGGGAAATGAAGACTGAAAATAATTAAATGATCTTTGGCTTGAGGAACTGAGCTGATGGCACACTATTCTCTAAGATAGAGAAGACTGGGGAGCAGGAGCGGGTTTAGAGAAAAGAAAACAAGAGTGGTTCTAACCATGTCAAGTTTGAGGCATCAGTAAGATATCCAAGCGGAAATATCAAGTGGACAGTCGACTATAAGGATGAGGGACATAAGGCAGGGTCACTGCTGGAGAGATGTGGGAGTTATGGGAAAAGCATGACATTTGAAGCCATGGATTTAAAGAGAAATGTTTAGATAGGGAAGAAAATGGGGCTCTGGACTGAAATCCAGGGTGCTCTGATATTTGGAGATAAGGGGAAGGAAGATTTAGCCACAGAGGCAAAGAAAGAATAGCTAGTAAAGTGGGAAGAAAACCTGGGGTCTATGGGGTCACAGAAACCAGAATAAAGTCAGTAGAGGAGGAAGGAAGGAATCAAATGGAATCAAATAAGATGAGAACAGACATATCCATTGGTTCAGACGACACAGAAATCAATACGAGAGTCCCCCACACAAGGAACCATCCAGAAGGATCACACATTTCAGAAGATAGTGGCATAGATCAGAAATTAGTTCCCACCACTCCCTCACCAATGCCAGAAACCCCGTAAATCTTTGATCAGTACAGGAGGGAAAGAGAATAAAAGGATCCTGAATTGACTTGAGTTTAAACTTAAAAAGAGAGCATTTCCCCACAGATGCCAACAGGAAGAATGAGGGCTCAAAGGGTGATATATATAAATGAGTTATAGAAATGGGGAACAGAAATATAAAGAATGTTGGCCAGGCATGGTGGCTCATGCGTGTGATCCCAGCATTCTGGGAGGCTGAGGCAGGCAGACCACTTGAGTTCAGGAGTTTGAGACCAGTCTTGCCAATACGGCGAAACCCCATCTCTACTGAAAATACAAAAATTAGCCAGGAGTGATGGCGGGCACCTGTAATCCCAGCTACTTGGAAGGCTGAGGCATGAGAATCGCTTGATCCCAGGATGTGGAGGCTACTGTGAGCCAAGATCGTGCCACTGCACTCCAGCCTGGGCCACAGAGCGAGAATCCATCTCAAAACAAAAGAGACAAAACAAAACAAAAAAACCTCATGTGTATATATATATATAGAGAGAGAGAGAGAGAGAGATTGAGAGAGAGAGAGTGAGAGAGTTAAATTTGCTATATGACTTGAATACATGGCTCAAAAACATCAAACCTAGGCTGGCTCATTCCTGTAATCTCAGCACCTTGGGAGGCCGAGATAGGAGGACTGCTTAAGGACAAGAGTTCAAGACTAGCCTGTGCAACAAAATAAGATCCTATCTCTACAAAAAATAAAATAAAATAAAAATCATATCTGCTGCATCAGTACCCAGACCCTTCCCAGAGAAGGGGCAGCCTTGGCCTGGGTAGGATCTACAGTGGCAGTGCTCAAAGGATCCCCTCAAAGGAAATTTGGCAATGTCTGGGAACATGTAAAGTTGTCACAATGTAGGGAGGGTGCTACTTGCATCTAATGGGTAGAGGCCAGGGATGCTGCTAGACATCCTACAATGCACAGCACAGCCCCGCCCCAGCCAATCCCCAACATAGAATTATCTAGCCCCAAATGTCAATAGTGCCAAGGTCAAGAAACCTTGGCCTACAGGAAGTCCTAGCTGTACAGAGAGAAATTAACTCATCATAAGGCACTAGTAAAGAAAACCAGGAGCCTAACTTTCCTCCTCATCTAGGTAACCACCTCCATCTTGCTTCATCCCATTGACCAGACTGTAGAGTTAGCAAGGCCAGAGTTCTTGTTTCAGCCTCTTATTGATCATTTATTCACTTGTGCTCCTTCTGGGACAACAGCTTATACCCCAAGTTCAAAAGACCTCTCACCCAGCCCAAGAAGAGACTGTGAGCAACCCAGTCAGAGCACTAGTTCGAAAGTTTTCAGATATAAAGAACTCTCTTCCAATGCCAAGAACTGTTATAGACCTTTACACTGTAGTAGTTGTACTTCAGCTTCTGTTGGCTGAGGAAATAACAAGAAGCTACCATATTTTCAGTACCACTTTAAAAGAACTGTGGAAGAATTACTTTTATTGGTAGCACTACACCTAATGTAACTGGACTGTGTTAATGGCTGAGTGGGATTTTTCCTGTTGTTCTGAAATTTCTGCTAAGGCCCAGAGCTGAAGACAAAGGATACCCATCTTCCAAATTCAGAGCTCTGACCCTTGAGAATCAAAAGGACCAGCTACCTTCCCTCAGGGCTTTATTTGGGGTAACTGTAGGAGAATCACCACCTCCACCATCACTTCTACCACCCTTACCACAATTACCACCTCTACTACCATCACCTCCGCTATCTTCACCACCATCTCCACCATGGCCACCACCGTCAATGCCTTCACCACCATCACCATCACCATCATCAACATCTCTACCATCACCACCATCTGTATTATCACATCCACCCCTACTACCATCATCTCCACTACCCTCACCACCATCAATGCCTTCATCACCATCACCATCAGCAGCATCTCCACCATCCCTGCCACCTGTGTCATCACATCTACCATCACCATCATTACCACCTCTACCACCACTACCTCCACTACCCTCATCACCATCTCCACCACAGCCACCACAGTCAATGCCTTCAACACCATCACCATCATCAACATCTCTACCATCACCACCATCTATACCATCACATCCACCACCATCACCATCATTACCACCTCTACCACCACCACCTCCACTACCCTCATCGCCATCTCCACCAGCCACCACCGTCAATGCCTTCATCACCATCACCATCATCACTATTTCCACCATCACCTCCAGCACTATCTCCATCACTGTCACCACCACCACCATCAGCACTGTGGAGAGAGGACCTCATATTTTGGGATAGTGCAGTATTTTTGAAGAGAAGCCTTTTCCTTCCTCCTTTCCTTTTGATAACAAAGTGTGTTGTGACCTCCAAAGAAAGGAGAGGAGACCCAGAGAGTATCCTGCTAATGACTAGCAGTATCCATAGGTAAAGAAGATTGGAATTTCACTTCCTAATGGGAGGACCTGCTGACTTTCCTCTGTGTGACCAGAAAGAAGATGATAAAATTGGGGTGGGATGGCATAATGGAGTCCATGAGAAAGAGAGTCCCTAGCTCAGTCTAGTTCCCTAGTTTTTCAGAAGTGTACAGTTGGAGTTCATACAAACCCAGAGGTCCCAAAGTTGGCCATGGAAGATAGAAGAGCAAAGACCCTACATCCTCACAGAGAGGATTATGGTGGGGTCAGCTAGGAGGTGTGGGCAGGTCTAGGAAGGAACCAACAACACCCTGGGAGATGCTGAGAAGTGAGCCCCTTGCAAGGCCAACGACATGAAGCCCACAGAACCCTGGAGCAATGAAAGCTCTAAGCCACCAAAGAGAGGCCCACAGCCTCACCAGCAGGTCCAGGCAAGAGATGTGGGAGGCATTTCCTCTCCTTCCTGCCAGCCCCCACCCTCGAGGAGTCAACAAAAGGAGGAGAGAGGGCAAAGGGTATGAGAGAATCATCCTCACTTCCCCTCCTCACCCCAGGAATCATAGTTCATGCGTGCCCCAGGGCAAGTGCAGGAAAAGGCTTTCTATCCAATGTAAGACTGAAGCGTTCTTTTTCTTTTCTTTTCTTTCTCTTTCTCTTTTTCTTTCTTTCTTTCTTTTTTCTTCTTTTTTCTTTCTTTCTTTCATGGGTTTTTTTTTTAACTACACCCCCATTTCAGCAATATAGACTGAAGTATTAAAATGAGCAGGACAGGGCCTTTAAAAACTAAAGTGATGGTTTTAGTAAAGGAACTGGTAAATTACAGAATCCAGCTGAATTACTACTAAGGATGTTTAGCCATGGAAAATGTTATGGAAGCTGGGTTAGGAGCAATAGTTGGAAACAATAAAACCAGTTCTTGTTATACCACCAATGAATTGAGACACACAGGTTACAATGTACTTGTAACTTGCCCAGAGTCCCATAACTCACCTGACTCCAGAGCCTGGGTGCTTAGCTAATCCCTGGATAGATGAGAAAAGACCAGCTTATCATGGGAGCTGTTGGCTGAGATGGTGGATCAGGGAGTCTAGGTGGAAAGGACCCGAGGAGTCCTAGCGTGGAAGGGAGAGCATGAACCGGGTATGGAAGCCTCAAGGAAGCTGCAACCGCCTTCCTTGTGCCAGGCAGTGAGCTGGGCTTTCATCTCATGCTTATACCACCCTGTTTGGTGGGCACAGTTAGTACTCTCATCCCTACTTTGCTGACAAGAAATTAAGGCTCCCACCAAGGCCACATAGCAACTAACTGACAGAGTTAGGGTTCAAACCTAGGTTACTTTGACTTGAAAATCTAATACTCTAACCAGGACCCTGATTCCTTTAGAATGCCTTATCACAACAGCAGAAACCACATCACACTGTTATGCATGGAGAATCACAGGCTGCAAACTCAACCATGAGTGAACATTTCTCCAGTTTTTTGACAACTAAAGTGAATTTCTTTATCAGGTCCCTGATCCTGGAGGTGGGAGAAACAAAATCACTGTTATTTAAGAATTTCCTTGAGTCTCCCTTAGGTTGAGTCCAAGTTCTGGAGGCCCTCAGGAGCACCCAGGCATGGGAGGCGAGGGTGGTTGCAGCTTCCTTGAGTCTTCCATACCCGGTTCATGCTCTCCCTTCCACACTGGGACTCCTCAGGTCCTTTCCGCCTAGCCTCCCTGATCCACCATCTCAGCCAACAGCTCCCATGATAAGCTGGTCTTCCCTCATCTATCCGGGGATTAGCTAAGCTCTGGAGTCAGGTGAGTTATGGGACTCTGGGCAAGTTACTTAACCAGTTTGTGCCTCGATTTCTCCATCTGTAAAACTGATTATCTCACGGGCTTCTTAGAGGATTTAAAAAGACAATATTTGCGGAATGCTTAGAACAGTGCCTGGCCCATCATAAATGCTTAACTAAAGCTAACTACCATTTTGGGGGAACAGGAGGGAGGGAAAAAATGACTCTCACTAATTAAGTCTTTTTCTTATGCCTGGAGAGTAGCTTTTAACATTCAAAATGCCAAAACTGGCCAGGCATGCTGACTCATGCCTGTAATCCCAGCAGTTTGGGAGGCTGAGGTGGGAGGATCACTTGAGCCCAGGAGTTCAAGACCACCCTGGGCAACACAAGAAAACCCTGTCTCTACGAAAAATTTATTAAACAAAAAGCCAAAACTTTAATCTTTCTATTCTCTGAATTCTGTAGCACCCTTTCTTCCCATATACAATACAGGCAAATTGTCTGGCTTCACAAATTGGGGTTGGAGTATGGTTAATATCTCAAAATTCTACCCTGCCTAGTCATAGGTGGACAGTTCTGTCTGAGACCCTAAGAGCTGCCCTGCAATAACTCTGACCCACACCCCCCCACCCCCGACACACACACTCCCACCACCTCCATCATCATTATCCACAGGTTAGAATTTTCTGGCATATTACTCTCCTACAACATTTCAGAGTTTATCCTGCAGCCACATTCATTCACTCAATCCTTATCATGACCTTTGAAAACAAAAGCAGATTTGCTTTTCAGCCACCATCTTTTTACACTAACAAAAATGTTTGCATTTATAGAAAACGTCAAACATATATATATATATATAAGTAGACAGAACAGGACCGTAAACACTCTCGGACCCATGGCAAATTCGGCTTGGCCCATCCCTACCACATATTTTGAAGCGTATCTCAGAGATCCTATCATTTCATCTGTAAATATCAGTGTGTGTTTCTAAAGGCTAAGAATGGTCTTTTAAAACACAGTACCATGAACGCAACTTAAAAAAAAAATGATTCCTTTATATCATCAAATTGCCTTCAATCCTATCAGAGTTCAAATTTTCAACAGCATCCGTTTTGACAAATCAGGGTTGGGGTTCCTAAACCCATTAGGGAAGAAATACACCTCCAAAATTGTTCTGTGGAACAACCCGAGGCTCTCCGGAAGGGTAATTGGACCCCTCCCATTCCTTCACAGACAGGAATGTATTAGCCAAACCTACCGCGATTTTGCCGGGAGGACGCCAAAAAAGACGATCACGTGTCAAATAACCATGGAAACGGGGTGACAAAAGGAACTTATGCCTTCGCTCCCTTGTTTAGACAGAGCAATCAAGGAGCTGCTGTCCTTGCAGCGGGGAGGCCGGCGCCGCCTGCGGTCGCACACACCTGAATTCCTGCACCGGGGCAGCCCTTGGCCCCCCGTGAGCACCGCCGGGCCTCGTCCATGGCTGTCAGGACCCGGGATTAGCACGTGGGCTCCTGCGGGGACTTGGGCTGACCGCAAGCGCTAGAAGAATTGGAATCACTAGACTTCCATTGTTAGTTTCTTCCAGTGGTTCAGCGGACAATTTTGAACTGAATCCAGCAGAGAACTCATCGGAGGTTTTTTGTTTTTTGTTTTAAGTAGTAGTGATACCATTTCATCCGATTCCAATGCTAGTCATTTACATGATCAGCCTCTGATATAATTAACCCAAGGGCAATTCCAAGCCTGGACCCTTGAAATGACTGCCGTATTAGATTTGTGGTCTAGAATGTCTTTCCTTCAGACACCTTACATAAATCAAGGTGCCAGTAAATCAAAAATGGAGTGATCCTATTTTTATTTTTTTTAAATATATGTACAGAAATACTCTCATAGCAGATGCTACTGGCGCTCTGCCGCTACCCTCTTGGCATTGGTGCTCCTGGGGCTCTCTGCCCAGGCCTCTCTAGGACTGCAGGAGGTGGGCAGGCCTGAAGTCAGGGGGAGCCTGCAACCAGGCAGGGACGCCCTACGGGAGAAAAAGCACCTTGGGGAGGGTGTTCTAGAGCGCCCCCCACAGGTCCCAAACAGGACTGAGCTCAGCTGTGCATGGGGCTAACCTGTTAATCACAGGCTTCCCAGCCCTGTCCATCTCACTTCCCCACTTCTCCATCAGTGCTTCCTGGGATTATCTCCCGACAGAGGGCAAACACCTCATCCTGGGAACCCCCAGCCCCAGGCAAACCAGGACAGTGGTCAGCTTGCCTCCCACATAAAACACTTGCACCGAAATCCTAGTCTCAGGTTGGCTTCTGGGGTACCTCGACCTACGGAATAATCCCTATGCTGGGAAGAGTCTGGAATGAGACATAAATCTTAACTGGGTTTTTTTTCTTTTAATAGACATGGGGTCTCACTATGTTGCCCAGGCTGGTCTCCAACTCCTGGCCTCAAGTGATCCTTCCGAAGTGGATATGAAGGTGCTGGGATTACAAGTGTGGGCCACCACACCTGGCTTAACTGGGTATTCTCTGTGAGCTGAGCCCTCTAAAGGTGGGCAGTGGGGCAGTGCTGGACTCCTTGGGTATTTGGAGGAGGAAGTAAAGGTAGGTTTGTCATCAAATCTGTATCTGACATTTTTACAAAGAACATATATCATTTTTAAAAATATATAATAAAAACCTGAGCTTTTTAAAACTATCAGCAAATATTTGTTTTATAATTTTTAAAGAGTCATTCCATTTAAGTTTTTTAAAAAGAAGGAAAGAAATGGTTTAAAAACATTTTAATGATAATTTAGGGCAATAGTTTACAAATTTTTTAAGTTTCTGATGGAATCCTACATAGTATTCCAGTTACAACCTGATATGAGTGGAACTGCTGTGATGAAAACTGGGCTCTAGGGCCTGGAACTCCCCCCACCCAACTCCTTTCCCCACCCCAGGTAAGCAGTAGGTACATCTAAGGAACCCTGAGGGTTTCGTCCATCCCAGTGTGAAAAACCACTGTTAAAGAGGAATATTTAATTGCATTAAAAAATATTAACTTTTTACTTTAAAACATGTTATGAAATGAAAAGAGCAATTCAAAAAATAGCACTTATGGTACGATCTTGATTTTATGAACAACAACAACAAAATACATGTACTCACATACAAAGAAAAAAGACTGAAAGGAAGGCCAGGCATGGTGGCTTATGCCTGTAATCCCAGCACTTTGGGAGGCCAAGGCAGGCGGATCACTTGAGGTCAGGAATTTGAGACCAGCCTGGCCAACATGGTGAAACCCCGTCTCTACTAAAAAACACAAAAATTAGCTGTGTGTGGTGGTGTACCCCTGTAGTCCCAGCTACTCAGGAGGCTCAGGCAGGAGAATTGCTTGAACTTGGGAGGTGGAGGTTGCAGTGAGCCAAGATTGAGCCACTGCACTCCAGCCTCGGTGACAGAGCTAGACTCTGTCTCAAAAAAAAAAAAAAAAAAAACTGGAAGGAAGTATACCAAATAATATTAATGGTGATTATCTCAGGAGGGCTGGATTACTATTTTTTATTTTCTGTGCCAGTACTATATTACCTGAATTTTCTACTGGTATGTATATATGATATATTATTCTAAGGAGGGGAAGAACAGAAAAAAATGGTTCCTAAGTCACATGCAGACAATAGCAGTCTCCAGACTAGATGTTCATTGTTTTTAGGTGATGATCTGAGGAGCAGAGGCTTTCCAAGTTTAGAGATTTAGCTACTGAAGACTTCATAATTCAAGTTGTAGCCTGTCAATTCGATGCTCAGTGAAGTCTTTGAAGTTTCTGATAATGATGTATGAGCACTGCCTATAAAATAAGCAAGACAAGGGGTAACTCTCTCTGCCCCACCCCCTGCAGTGGAGCGGTTCAGGGTAGGAAGAGGGCAGCACTTCCCATCACTGTGGGTGCAGTCAGTTCAAACTCATGACTGAAGAGCCTTTGAAGGGAGACTGGAGCATTGCCAAACCAAGGCTTCAGTAGAGAATTACAGTGGTTAAGTCAGTGGTTCCCCAACCTGGCCGCCCATTCGATCACCTGCAGAGCTTATTATAAATGGGTTCCTGGCCCCACCCACTTATCCTCAGATTCAGGAGGTCTTGATACTTAGAATCTGCCTTTTTAACAAACACGCCAGGGGGTCCTCGTGTGTCTCCTTAATGAAGTTCATCATCACTGTGAGTTTGTGAGCTCTAGGAATCTATATGCCTTATTTGCTACTATAACCCAGATACTGTGTGCAGAGTCCTAATGCTCTGTAAATATTCCGGGAGGAAATTATTTATTGAAGGCTCACTTTGTGCCTGACGTTTTGCTAAGTGGTTTCAAGGCCAGTTACTTTAATCACAACTCAAGGGAAGTATTCCAATACCCATTTTGTAGATGACAAAGTGGACTCAGAGAACTTAAGAAGCTAGCCTGAGGCCCCTTAGAAAGAAAGAGAGGCAGCATCCGAATCCTGGTCTGAGGTCCAAACTCCAGCTTATCACATTCAGCCACACCACTTCTAGAAGGTTCCATGGCGTTTCTTTTCTTGAGAGAAAAATAGAATTGTAATTCTCCATTCACCTTCCTCTTCTCCTATCATCTACCTGCTCATCTGTTTGTCTACACACACACACACACATTTCAAGATTGACCATCATCTAAAATGGCACCAGAACTCACCCCAGGACATGCTATACAGAGGTTTATACTCATACTTTCCTGACTTCTTGTTGTAACATGTCTTTTCTAAGCTAAAGGAAACCAGTTATTCCTCGTTCCAGTTGTAATTATCTTACTTATTTTAAAGTAGTTGTTGCAAACTAGCCTAAGCAATTTGGCTATTCAAACTACTAGGTGTTTGATCATGATGGCTTCCTGCAATAGGTAAGAAGTCCATGAAGGCTACAAGCTACCTCCCCCGATCACCTAATCAGATAGTATGTTACAAAGACAGTCTGTCTCAGACCAAATTCCACATTTTGCTAACTGGTTTCAAGGCCAGCAAGCAGGCACATAAACAGCCACACCACCCATTCTGTTAACCCGGGGACATGTCAGCCCTCTCACTTTAGACACTTCGACAGCCTCTTTCACAAAAAGTGTAGTCAAGGCACACGTGACACTATTGTCAGCGCAGTATCTAGCCTAGTCAGGCAGGTGATCAAATCAACCCTTTAATATATAGACATAGGACTGTTTGGACTTCCAAGGCTGGAGCCTTTCTAAAAGAATAAGCAACTGGTCTGGCTAGACTTATTTATAATGTCTTCAGGCAAGGCAAACGCACTATGAAACATTTCCAGCCATCTACCATTCTTGAACGCCATTCTTTTCATCAATGAAAAACCATTTTAGAAATCCATTATGCTAATTAACACACCCATGGATGCTGAGCTAGGACAGATAATTGAAGCACTTATGGTACCTTCCTCTGGAGTGTGGGGTTGTGATCTTTCGAATGTTAACAGCCCCTACAATGTAGATGAAAGCTAACACATACACACACACCCCATGCATACATGTGCACAGAGACATGGTGTATGAAATATGCTTTATGTTTAGAAGTAAATTACAGTCAATATATCAGTCATAACCACCACCATCTGATGAGAACTTACCGTACGCCCAGTACTGTGCTAAAGGTTTGACCAAACAAGAAAATGTATCTTCTCTGATCCTCACTGAAGAGACTGAGAGCCCAGAAAAGCCATCGAGGAAGGACAAGCTGGCCTCGCACTCTGGCTGACTTGACAGCCATTCATCTTAGTGACTCCAGGAGGCTGGTTGCCTGTGAGTTCTTCTGGGCCTCCTGGGAATTCCCCCATCATCATCAACAACAATTTTTCACTCTTGGCTCAAAACCTTGAACAATAAATAAAATCCTGATCCCCAGAAAGTATTCCACAGCATGACTCCTGAACATAATTGATTCTGAAGGAGGCTTGGGAACTCCTCCTGGGTGACAACTGTGTTATATCTGGAAACATGCCAGGCAGCCGGCTCTGTGAGCCTACCAAGCCCAAGGGTAGCCAGAACTCAAATGTCTGCTGCTCCCCATTAGGCCTCCACATGGGAGCCCCCTTCTTCTGCCACCCTCTGCTTTGTGTCTGTGTTTGAATTTATCAGCCACCCCAATGGGTTGGGTACAGAAGCTGAAGAGGAGGCCAGCCAACCATCATCCAGGAGTGTCCTTGCCTCCTGCCAGGGAGGGGCAAGGACTTGGCCATTTCAGTAATGAACTACTGTGCTGTCAGGGCAGAAAAGAGAAGGAACAGGTCATCGGGGGTGGTGAGTAGTCAGAGTCTGGAGACAGTATGAAGGGAGAGTGAAAAGAACTTGCTGATGAATTCAACAAAGAGTTACAAGAAGGAGAGGAGGCAAGACCGACTTGAAGATTTGGGGCCTATGCCAAGAAGAATAAAGCTACCACTGACCACCTGGGGAAGACTCAAGTGGGGAATAGCTGGACATGTAGGGTTTGAAATGCCTGTTACATATCTGAAGTACACTCATTTTCTGTGACTGGATAACAGATTACCCCACACTTTGCAGCTAAAACAATGCCCATGTATTAGCTCATAGTTCTGGAAGTCAGTAGTCCAGGTAGACTCAACTGAGTTCTCTGGGCAGGTTATCAGAAGGCTGAAATCAGGTGGTAGCTGGCCTAGGGTCCTGTGTGAACGCTCTGAGGAAGCATCTCATTGCAAATGTATTCTCTGTGTTGGAAGACTCTGTTCCTTGCATGCGTGGGCCCAAGCTCCCTGTTCCCTTGGTGGCTGTCAGCTATGGGCCACTCTTAGCTTCCAGAAGCTTCCCATAGTCCTTACTGCAGGACTCCTTTCAACTTCAAGCCAGAAAGCCTGGGTCAAATTCTTCTCCTGCTTCCAACTTCTCACTTCCTCTTCTGCCACCAGTCAGAGAAAACTCTAGGATTAGATCAGGCCTCCTTGAATAATCTCCCCTTCTTAGGATCAAGTGTGCCATAGGACATCACCTAATCATGGGAGCAAAATCCAGCATATTCACAGGTCTGGGGATTAAGCAGGGTACACACAGTGGGGTGGGGTGAGACGGCAGAAAGTCTTGCGTGCTTCCTTAGAATTTTGCCTGCCACCCAAGGGGAGATGTAGAGGAGACATTCTCTTTCAGAAACTTCCAGGGCTGAAGGATGGGGCAGAAGGAGGAGGGGAGGAACCCATCTGGATCTCTTTAGCCTCTGGAACCTGAAGCACTCAGGAAAGAAGGCCTGGCCCTTTGAAGCTGCCCCTGCCAGGCCCCACAATGGGCCAGCCCTGCCAGCCCTCCTGCACAGGCCCTGAGGCATCTTGGCAGCAGCATCCCCGAGTCTGGCAGGTGAGTCAACATTTGGCTTCTCTCCTGGGCTTTCTTGGAAAGGGCTGTGTTCCAGATTGGCAGCTGTGCTAGCTGGAAAGGAGGCCAGAAAAGAGCCAAGTTCCGGGGGCCCTGCTGCCAGGCAGGACACCTGGACCTTCTCTCCCCTAGTTACTGAAAATGGCAGAAGGAAACCCAGGGAAGCCAGAGCAGTAGTAAAGCAGAGTGGCCAAAAAATTTCAGGCTATGGAGTCAGATGGATGACTTAGCCTCTCAATTTCCCCATCTGTAAAATGGGAATCGTCATTAGTAGCTGCAATGAAGGGGCCTGTGACAATTGAACAGCGTGCTACCTGCAAATCATTTTGCACAATGGCTGGCATATCGAAAACATGAGTAAAGCCTGCACAATGGATACTATTAACTGAAGGGGAAATGCCTGGCAAATAGAGGTGGTTCAACCAGGTGGAATTAAAAAGGAGAAAGGGATTAGGTGAAGGGGACAAAGGGATAGCCAACCCCTTTTATAAGAAACTCTCATAATAGTGGAATGTAAGTTGGTTGTTTCTCTAATGACTTATGAATATACAAAGCCCCATTGCTAAACCCCTAGGCATGATGGATTTTGATTGGGCCGCAGTGTAAATTTGGATATGATATTCCCAGGACTCCTGGGTAGTAAGATTGGATTTCTGCTACCTATAGAAATTCAAGAGGGAAGGGAGGGAAAGCAATAGAAGACTATTGTGTTGATGTGTTGTAGGCCACGTTTGGTTGCAAAGAATAGAACCGCCTAAGATAATGGGGTAGAGTAACATTTGGGGCATTTAATGGTGGGTTCACACCATACTTCTGTACTCATCAAATTTCTCTGCTGCATCCTAAAAACCTCTCTCCCCCAACTGCTATCCCCAGCCTGCTCAGCAAGAAACGAGTCAGTTACTCCGTAGGGAAATAAAGCAAGGACTGCATTTACTCCCGGGCAGCACAGTGGGAGAATGAAAATCACAGGCTCCACTAGGTTTGCTCCAAGGAGCTTGGGATTTCTTCAGTCACAACCAAATCATCTCTCTTGTCTGGCAAGGACCACCAGACCTCAATAATCATCCAGTTTGCAGTGACATGTCCCATGGCTAACACCCTCCCCCCATCATGCCCACCCCACAACAATGGGCAGGACAAAAGCCTTCTTGGACAGGTGACCAGCTGAGACCACTGAACCCACTGAGAGTAGTGAGTGGAATAAAAATAAGGTCTTATTCCTGATCAAGGTGGATAAGTTGAGATCAGTTTGAAATCCTCATTGACTGGGGCTCCAGACGTGCTTATTCAAAGTATATAGTAGGCAATCCGGTGGGCACCCAGCAACGGGAGATCAAGATAGCCAGGCCCGCCACTGCATGTCAACTCAGTCCCCTTTTCCCTTTACAGACTAGCATGCCTTCTCTCTGCCTTCCTAAGAGACAGTACACAGCATTAAAGTCACTGCCCCAACCCGGCTGTACATGATCTTTCAGGTCAAATGCCAAGCACTATCTAAGTGTAGTTATGTGTCTCTTAGTTCACACATTTGACAGACAAGTTGGTTGGCTCACAGACTGGGCCTATGGATTGGTTCCTGGTGAGGAGTTTACTTTTGATACAGTCAGTAGTGGGAGATGGGGGGATGGAGTTAGGTGGCATAGACATGACGGCTTAGACATACCTCCTCCTTCCATTAGGTGGTGAGGGACTAGACTCTCAGAGGTCGGACAGGGCCTTGGCAGGCACCCCAAATATATCCACCATAAACAACCCCCAACCCAATTCAGATTTCACAAGTTCCCTCTGAAGCATCATTACAGAGTTCTTGAAATCTAATCTATTCCAGAACATTCCCAGATGGACCAAAAAAGAACTGACACATTTTTGTATCCTCCCTTTCTCCCAGAATCAAAATTTTCAGTATTATTTTGAAACTAGCTATCCAGAAATCCCATTTTTCAGAGCAAAGTCTTTTGTGGTTAATTAAATAATTAACTCCCATTTATCTTTTCAACAAGTCTCGGTTTTCATAGAGCGGGCTTCTTTAATGTGGGGTACACCCATATGGGTGTTTCTGGGGCAACAGTGTGTCACAGAACAAGCCAATTAAGTACAGGCGAGTTAATGGCCTTGTCCAGGTTAATAGTGAAGCCAAGCGCCTGTTGCTGAGTCTTCAACTCTTCGTTAGCTCAAATCCCAGTTGTAACTTTCCACTAGGGCTGTGAGTTGTGACTTTCCTTAATCCACCAGATAGAAGCAGAGCAACAGCAGAGGCTGTAAATACTCTGTCAGGGCATGAAGAATAACAACAATAAGGCATTCATATTAGGAGAGGAGATTCATTCATCACGGTTTGTTTACCCTCTCAACAACCCAGAAGAGTTGGTGTCACTGTCTCTGGGGAAGCAGCTGGCATAAGGAAATCAAATTGCGGTGAAAAGAATGTGAGCTTTGCAGTCATATGAGCCTCATTTCAAATCCTGACCAAGGCCTTTACTTCTCTGATAAAACAAATCTGTATGGCAGCTCTGATTGGTCAGCCCCCATACCTTAACCCTAATTAAAGAGTTTGAATATCACCCCTGCTTCTCTGGTACTCAACCTTTCTTCCAAAAAAGGGGATAGGGGTGGTGATAATACTACCCACCTCATGGCATGATTGTGAAGGTTACATGAGGTCATGTGTGTGAAAGGACCCTCTCTCTAGTAGGTGCTCTTTATGCTCACTCCTTTCCTAATGTAACTGACTTTTTCCAGGTTTGGGATGATCTTCTAAGGTTTCTCAAATGATTGTCATGACTGATGAATTCAACACAAAGAGAGCTGATGAGGAAAGCCAGGCTTTCTTCACTCTCCTGAGAAAAAAATTCCCTCTTGGGTAAGACCTGCCATCAGGCTGAGATCCCATCCTTCTTTCCAGATCCTTCTTCCATGGTGGCAGAGGCTTCTTGTTGCTAATATTGGTCTTCCCCTAATTCTATAGAAACAGAATTCCTAAGTTTAAACAGAACCTTATGGCTACTGAGACAGAGAGAGACCACATTCTACATTTCCCAACATCCCTTGCAGCCAGACATGACCATGTGACTAAGTCCCCACCAATGGGATGTGAGAGGACATGAACTGTGCAATGACCAGATCTGACCCTTAAAATGATTAAGCTTCTCTTTCTCCTTTCCTATTGGCTGGAATGTGGACAAGAAGTTGGGGAGCCAGTTTTGACCCCCGTGGAGGAAGACAACACTCTGAGCAACAAGATAGAAGAAACCTAGTCCCTGGACAGCCTCATATAGCAGAAATGTCCTGAACCACCCACCAACCTCCAGATTGTTACATGAGAAAGAAACACACTTCTGTCTGGTTACCACCACTGTACTTGGGGGTCCCTTTATTACATCAATGCAGTCTACTCCTGACTAAAACATTCACTTTCCTTTATCAAAATTCATCTTCAGATCTTGTCTGGAGCAAGAACGGTCTGGAGCCAAGATCAGCCTTCAGAGTAGATTGGATTTCATCATCTCGCTGCCTGTAAGCCAGATTCAGTCCACAGACATGCTTTGGTTGGCTCCTATAGTGCATTTTTAAAAATTTGAATTCATTGTCAACATTTACATGTTGAGAAATTTCACATAAAAATCTAAAGGACTAGCTTTTCTTGAGAAAGCTGAAGGTCTGACCACCCTAGGTCCACATCTTCCTTGGTGAAATTCAGCGGATGCTACATTGTCCCTTTAGATGGAGTGAGCGTGCTTCAGCTCACCATCATCAGTGCCTATGGCAAATGCTATTGGGTCCTGGGATCTTGCCATTTGGAGGTCTGATGGCCTGACTTCCAATCCCCAAGGCCTGTAGTCTTTCGCCTGAGGACTTGCCTGCTTGGCACACACGCATTGTAGACCAGAGACACTGGAAAAATTAAAGCATCCTCAGCAACCCCAATGAATGACTGGTGGGAGCTGATGGAGAAATACCCATTTCACAGATGGGCAGCTGAAGGGCACCTTTGACGCTGGCCTCTGGAGTCTGTGTCACAGTTGCCCACAGTGGTTTAACTCACCATAACTCACACCCTTTATTGACTGGCTGCCATTTCCTGGATCACCTTCCAAATCAACTGCTTATATTCAAATCCTGCCCTCGAGGAACCTAAGTCTCAGAGCCTGCCCTAGGGAACCTTAAGTCACCAGTCCCTTTGGTTTTCCACCAAATATTAGCATTTATCATCAGCTGTGCTGTTATTTTTTTTTCTTCTGGTAGAGAAATATTTATATTTCTCATTTAAATACAGCATGTTAGCTGTATTTAATATTTATTAAAAATGAATAGAAAACGAAAAGATAGACTCAAAGGACAATGTGCTTCAGGAAAAAAAAAATAGGTGAGAGTATATCTCTTTGTGCAAGTAAAGAATATTCCTGCATATTTAACATCCAAATACTGGTCTGCTGAGTGCGCTGATGTTATCGGCCTAACCCGTGGGCATCTGTGTTTGTGATTCCTGGTGTTCAGCTCTGAAAGCTCTTGTTAAAACTCAGAAGTCATTACCCCCTGATTTTGAATGAGGTTCTGAGATTAGCGAGATGGCCATCTGGCAGCACGCTGAGAGAAAAAGTGGGAAGACACATACGTTTCAGTTGGAGGGAGGAAGGACCAAAGGAAATCTTATCACTGGGGCCAGGCCAGGGAGCTCAAGGTGGCATCAGAGGAGGGGGCCTCAAGGGAGGTGAGAGCAGAAACCTGATCTTTCTGTGATCTTGTGAAAGTCCCTTCCCCCATAGTGTCTGCAGGGCTTTGGCGGGTACACACCCTCCATTAGAGCATAGCTCTCCTTCTATTGACACAATAGAAGGTGCGTCTATTGTGCGTCTTCTAGGTGCGTCTCTCCTGGCTATGCAAGAATACCTGGAGGGCAGAAGCTATACCTTATTCTACTTTTTACACCCAATGGCTGGCAGAGAGCTCGCCACATAGTAGATGCCCAATAAAGGTTTGTCTTGAATTTTTGCTGGCCAGTGTGACCCTAGAGTGAGCCAATCAGAATTACTATGTAAGCCAGGGGGCGCTGTGGTTCAGTGTTCATTTCTCAACTGGGGCGCTGAAAAGTTTTTTTTGGCTGTATGCTGCAGTGATTAATATTGCACTAGCTGGCACCATGTCACTTAGGAGACAGTGGCATGGGATCTTCGAAAAACTAGCTATCTCTTACCTGGTTTGCAATCAGCCCATATAAGAATGGGGGCTCTGGAATCAGCCTGCCTAGGTTCAAATCCCAATTTCCTTACTTACTAGCTGTGTGCCCTTGGACAAGTCATTTAACCTCTCTGTGCCGCCATTAAAAAAATGAGAATCTAATGAGCTAGTGCATGTAAAGTATTTTGCACCATACCTGCACAGAAAAAGTGCTTAAAGCATGTTAGCTTTTTTTTTTTTTTTTTCCTGAGACAGGGTCTCACTCTGTCGCCCAGACTGGAGTGCAGTGGTGCAATCTCGGCTCACTGCAACCTCCACCTCCAATCAAGCTATTCTCCTGCCTCAGCCTCCCGAGTAGCTGGGATTACAGGCACATGCCACTACCACCTGGCTAATTTTTGTATCTTTAGTAGAGACAGGGTTTCACCATGTTGGCCAGGCTGGTCTTGAACCCCTAATCTCAAATGATCCACCCGCCTCCTAGGCCTCCCAAAGTGCTGGGATTACAGATGTGAGCCACCGTGCTCAGCCAGCATGTTAGCTATTTTGGCTTTGGTTGGAAACAACAGGATCCTGATAAAAAGAAAGCCAGAGTAGAAAAGAATCTAGAAAGATATGCACCAAAATATTAATCAATTATATGACAGTGATCATTTTTTATTGTTTCTTTTCTGCTTATTTGTGATTGCTGATTTGGTTTTCTTTACAATAAAGTTATATGACCTCTATAAGCTTACTCTAAGAGTAATAAAGAAGAGAAGGAAAGCTGGACTGCAGTGGGTTTTCTGTGCCATTCCCCACTAGCACTGCAAGGAAATTGTAGAATCTAGGCTCCCCTGAAAACGCCACACAAACCAGCTTTGCCTGTGCCTTCTGGAATTCCCACACCAAGAAGCTTCCATTCTGTCTCTGATATGGTTTAGCTGTGTCCCCACCCAAATTCGTCTTGAATCTTAGCTCCCATAATCTCCACATGTCATGGGAGGGACATGGTGGGAGGTAACTGAATCATGGGGGTGGCTTTTTCCTCTGCTGTTCTCAAGATAGTGAATAAGTCTCATGAGATGTGATGGTTTTATAAAGGGCAGTTCCCCTGCACACGCTCTCTTGCCTGTCGCCATGTAAGATGTGCCTTTGCTCTTCCTTCACTTTCCACCATGATTGTGAGGACCCCCCAGCCATGTGGAACTGTGAGTCCATTAAACCTCTTTTTCTTTATAAATTACCCAGTCTCGGGTATTTCTTCATTGCAGCATGAAAATGGACTAATATAGCCTTCACATCAACAGAGAAAGGGAACTTGAACATAAGTTTTCTGTGTTCTTGGTGGCCTGTGGGGTCCCAAGGATTCACATTGCAAGGCCATTTGGCATCCACACTCCACACAAAGCAAGTTCATCAGTTCCGTCCAATACCTTCCTCATGGCCAGCCACAGGGTAGATTCAGGCTGCTCTTGGCCCCAACACCTCTCTCTTGGGGTTCACAGTATAGTAAGGAGCTGGCACAGGCACTTCTGTTAGCAGGTAGGAGGTATGCATTCATTCATTCATTTGGTGACTATTTAATGAGACTTTTATGTGCCAGCCCCTGAATGAGGAATGGGGCTATTGCGAGGCTCTAGTGGGCTAATGCTCAGCCATCAGCTACAGGATCACATGTGGGTGGGCTTCTGCTGCCCTTCAGGTCCATGCTCTGCCCTTCTCCACCCTGCTTTGTGCCCAGAAGTCTGACTGGCGAGCGCTATGTTAACGTGCCTTCTTGCCTCTGGCATCCTGTTGGTTGGACCAGTTGAACAGCCCTGGCAGGAAAGTGGAGGGAGGGAGAAGGTTGAGGCTGGGGTACTTATCCCCCTGGTACCTTCCCTGACTTCTGCTGGACCTGTCCCTCCACCAGAAGTCACTGATCGTCTCACAGCAGCCTTCCGTATGGGACCCATCCTCCCATTTCTAGTATCTGCTCCCTCCTGCTGTCCCCTCCTGGCCTAGAAACATGGCTACTGTGGGAGACTGCACCTTCCCTACTCTTCCCCCACACCAGGCTCCTTTGTAAATCAGCCCTCCTGGAAGTATCCTTATATGAGGGGGCATTGGTCTCAGTTGGGACACTCCCCAATGGTTACTATTTACCCCCATTCTACAGATGAGGAAACTGAGGCTCAAAAAGGTACCTCACCCAAGGACACTCGGGAGGAGAGGAGGCAGCACTGGAACCCAGGAGGGCTCGATCAGTGTGATGAGCAAATTGTTCAAGGCCTGGAGGGGTCCCTTTGGGATCTGGGACTTGATCCCTCCTCAGGTGCCTTTCCTGTCTTGGTGCTCCTCCTCTTGCTTGGAAGGGACTGTGGGAAGGATGAGGGTTTGCCAGGAGAGTATCAGGGAGCAATACTGGCTCTTATGAGGGGCTCACATATTACCTGGGCTTTTCTCACCATCAGAGTAAAACCAAGTTCACAGCCAAGCTTAGGCGCCTGCCCAGGGCCAAAAGTCACAAGGTTCATCTGTCTGCTTTGGGTCCGAGGCCAGCCTAGTCTGGGAACTCTCCCTCGGGGACCTCGTGGGGCTGAGAGAGGCCAAACGTCTTCCTCCCATGGATCCCCCTCCCCACTTCGTGGGTTTAACTTTGTCCAGGTCCTCCCCACTATTCAGGAATGCAATCTGAAAAACCAATTCAAACTAGGACTCATGGTATTCACCCATTCCCCCCACACCCACACAAGTGAGTGCACATACACACAATCAATCACACGACTCTGCATTTTAAGCAAGATCCTATTGCAATGCTTAACCCAAAACAATAGTGGGATTTCAGGCACTAGGTAAGCAAGAGATTCTTCCAATCTTACCACAAACGTGTGAATGACCACTCCACCTACTCCAAACCATGGTGACTTTAAGAATGAAAGGGAGCAATGTGAATAATGAAGTCCAGACAGCTGGAGTAAAAGGGACTGTCCCAGGCAAACCATGACATGGAGTCCCTCTGCCTATGGGTGACAGGAAGTTGAAGATGACTTTTCCTTTAGTCCTAGCATTGTGGCCTAAGCCCCAAGCTAGACATTAGGCACAAAGAGCCCACATGCTCCAAAGCACAGTTTCTGATCTTTTCTTGTGCCATGAATCCTGTTGGTATCAGTGAAGCAATCGATCCCTTTTCAAACTAATGGTTTTAAATGCACAAAACAAAATACATAGGATTGCAGAGAACTCACGATACAGCTGTCAAAATATTAAACAAATTTATGGGCCGGGCGCGGTGGCTCACGCCTGTAATCCCAGCACTTTGGGAGGCTGAGGCGGGCGGATCACGAGGTCAGGAGATCGAGACCATCTGGCTAATATGGTGAAACCCTGTCTCTACCAAAAATACAAAAAAAAATTAGCCGGGCGTGGTGGCGGCGCCTGTAGTCCCAGCTACTCAGGAGGCTGAGGCAGGAGAATGGCGTGAACCCGGGAGGCGGAGCTTGAAGTGAGCCGAAATCGCGTCACTGCACTCCAGCCTGGGCGACAGCGAGACTCCGTCTCAAAAAACAACAACAAAAAAACCCAAAAAAACCCCCACAAATTTATGATATAGTAATACTCTTGTTTCTTCTTTATTAATACATTAAATAACAAGATCTAGCAATGAGTCTAATTACTACTGTAATTTTTACATAGAGATGAGTGTAAAATGTTACTTTTAAATATCTGTGACAACTGTAGTGTGATTTCTGATTGTGAAGGGTAACAAAGTCATAGGCACTACTAATACTATGGGGGGGTTGGTGTTTACATTTTGAACAGAAAGAAATGTCAGCTTTTACCTAGAGATGAACAAATATAAAAAATAAATCTTCCCATCCAAGCTTACAGACCCCAGGCAAAAACAAAAACCCCATTCCTAAAGGGAGCCACTAAGAGGCCATGAGTTCATCATCTAGGCTTGTGTGTGTGCACGCGCATGTGTAGAGATGGGGTCTCTCCATCTTGACCAGGCTGGTCTCAAACTTCTGGGCTCAAGCCAGCCTCCCACCTCAGCCTTGTAAAGCGCGGGGATTACAGGCATGAACCACTGCACCTGGCCCACCCAGGCATATTAAGAGGTGCCCAAATTGGCCCAACCACGATCACTTACTTCCCCCCCTCCAACTTTTATTAACAGACTCAGGGATGGAACAGGGTTGGTACTGCTGGTGGGAACTGCTTCTCTTTCCTCCAGTTAAGAGAGGAGAGTAGCTTGTAGAGATTGGGGGTGCTTGCAAGGGAAGCCAGGCATTTCATTCCTGGTTGGACTCCCATGAGAAACAGGATTTTCAAATCCATTCCAGAAAAAGCAGGAGAGAATTGGAGTCTGTGAGGCAGAAAAAGGTTGCAGTCAACCTATGAAATCCACCCAGGATGTTAAGGGACAAGACAGGGGAGATAGATCAATTGGAGGAAAATAATCTAATTCATCTCATCATCTTCAGAATCATCAATACATAAAGTGTGACTTGCATTACAGTTGCATCCAGGACACCACCCAAATGCAGTTATGGACCAAGGAAGTCATGGGGAGACCCATTCCCTCCTATGATCTGAGAGCACCAGCACCTTCCCTCTCAGCAGCCTGATGACCAGAGACAGAACTTACAGAACTGCCTGGTTAGACCTCGCTTTCTTTTTGGGGACTTGACAGTCCTTCTGGTAGGGGTGCCAACTGACTGGAGTCTGCCCCAAAGACAGCAGAAAGCCTTAATAATTGGATGCTTAAACAGAAGACAAAGAAATGTATGCTCAGGGAGTCTGCACCCCAAGTGACAATCCCAAACTCAAGGAGTCCTATGCGTGTGACCAGCCACAGCAGACATCTGCGTGCACCAGATCACATCCTCATGGCCACCTGATTTCACTGAAGCTCTGATGGAGAGTTTGGCAGACATTTCCAGAATCCCACCTCAAGCACACTTGCAGAGGTTTTCCCCAAAGCAGGGAAAAGCCACTTAGTTGATGGGCACAGGTAGAAGCGCAAGGATGTTCATTTTCCCAGGGACAACACCTCAACATTAAGGGAGTGAGAGTCAGTGGATAAATGCCCCAGCCTCTCCTCCCCACAAAAGGACAATGCAAAGGCACATTCTACATCTATGATGCCTTGCAAGTTACCCAGCGGCTAAGCAGTAAAATAAGGCATGGTTAGCAGCCTTTCTCTCTTCCCTCTCTCCTTCTCCCTCACTCTTGCTTTCTGGGTAGCTTTCCAGATAAACAATTGCACCCAACCCTTGTCTCAGGGCCAGCTTTTGGAGGCATCCCAGTTAAGGCTGTGGTTCACCACATAGCTGAATACATCAGGCTTCCTTAAAGGGTCCCCAGAACCCATGGCTTCATTGGCAAGAAGCTGGAAGCCCGCAGGAAAAACGTTGGAGAGTGGAGATGGAGAAGAATCATGAAAGGCGAGGTAAACCATTGTGAAATTATAAAATTCAGTAGGTTGAAAAAGAACAGAAACCTGGCCGAGGAATCACTGGAAGAGCACACATTGAAAAATGTGCCTAGACAGTTGAGAATCTGTCAACTGACAGGAGAGGGCTTTGTGAAGAAAACGAACCAGAGCGCGATGTCAAGCAGACAGATTGGTCCAGTTAAGGACAGGGGAGGCTGGGGAGGCAGAGTGAGTTATGAAGCCCTGGCTTTGGCTTGTGGGCGGTCTAGAAGAGCCATTCCCAGCAGGGATGAGACACCGAGTCCCAGAGGACAAAGAGGAGGGAAAGGACCTTCCAAAGGCTACTGATACTGCTGCCTGCACCTGCGAGGTGTTTTGCGCCACAGGCAAGCTCAGCGTTCCCTAAATGTGCAGTCTGCAGGACACTGATTCTGTAAGGTTCTCTGGATAAAAAGCGGATGGGGTGAGTATGGGTGGGGGGAAGCCCCCTCTTGGAGAGTCATTCATTCAACAAGTGCTCATGGAGTACCTAATCTATTCTAGGCATGGTGCTGGGCACCAGGATCATAGCAGGACACCAGACAGACAGTTCTGCCCCAGGAACATTGCAGACTCTGGGGGAAACAAGGATTAAACAAGAAACACGGTATTAGCTAAAACTCACTGCATGGAGGGCAAGAGTTTACATGTACTACCCGATTGAATCCTCAGAACAAACCTCAAGGTAGGAACTTCACAATCATTATTTTAGAGATGAGAACACAGAGGCCGGCACGGTGGCTCACACCTGTAATCCCAACACTTTGGGAGGCCGAGGTGGATGGATCACTGGAGATCAGGAGTCGAGACCAGCCTGGCCAGCATGGCGAAACCCCATCTCTACTAAAAATACAAAAAAAAAAAAAATTAGCTGGGCGTGGTGGTGGGTGCCTGTAATCTCAGATACTCAGGATACTGAAGCAGGACAAATGCTTGAACCCGGGAGGCAGAGGTTGCAGTGAGCCAAGATCTCGCCACTTCACTCCAGCCTGGGTGACAGAGTGAGATTCTGTGGAAAAGAAAGGGGAGGGGAGGAGAGGTGACAGGATGGGAGGGGATGGGAGGAAAGGGGGAAAGAAGGAAAGAGAGAAAGAGAAAGAAAGAAGAAAGGAAGGAAGGAAGGGAGGGAGGAAGGAAGGAAGGAAGGAAGGAAAAGAAAGGAAAGAAAGAGGGAGGAAATACAGAGGCTCCGAAAAGTCAGGTGACTTAGCCAAGGACAAAACTGCAGTATGTGGTGGAGCCATGACCTGAACCCAGGCAGTTTGGCTCCCATGTCTGCATTCTGACCTGCTACACATTTTTATCAAAGGATCTGACAGGTCCTGCAGGCAGGACCTGCTGCATAATTTGCAGCACCCAATGCAAAGTGAAAATGTACCACCCTGGCTGGCAGTGGGGAAGTCGTTTTCCTCTTCTCATGGGCACCTCAAATCACAGCATACAGACAATCCCCAAGGGGTTGCAACTTCCTCAGTACCGGGGTTAGAGGTAGGTGAGAGGTCCCCACTGAGTTGCCTGCTAAATGTGCAGAGGTGCTGTCAGCTCCACACTGGAATAGCTGCCACCTTGCCCTGACCTGAGACACTGTGCATCGGGCACTGGATCCCAGCCCTCTCCTTACCTACACACAGGCCCCTGAGCGGGGCAGAGGATGACAACAAATGGGGCCTCCTCTCAGGCCAATGGGCCTTGAGCACCATGGTTTGGGGCCCTGGGTGGTATGGTCTCAGGGCACAGCCAGCCAGTGGAGGCCGGTGAAGGGGAGCAGGCCGCTGAGAACCCACCCTAGGGAGCAGTGGGGCAGGGGGCTACATGTGAGTCAAGACCCCAAGCCACTGACACACATTTCATTGTCCCATCAGACTTCACTTAAAAAACACAACTTCAAGGATAAAATTACTAAGAATATCTTGTCTAGGCTGGGCTCTGTGGCTCACACCTGTAATCCCAACACTTTGGGAGGCCAAGGCAGGCAGATCACTTGAGGTTAGGAGTTTGAGACCAGCCTGGCCAACATGTGAAACCCCGTCTCTACTAAAAATACAAAAATTATCTGGGCATGGTGCCAGGCACCTGTAGTCCCAGCTCCTTGGGTGGCTGGGGTGGGAGAATTGCTTGAGCCCAGGAGGCAGAGGTTGCAGTGAGCCCAGATTGCACCACTGCACTCCAGCCTGGGCGACAGAGTGAAGACGCGATCTCTAAATAAATAAATAAAAATATCTTGTCTAACATTGCCACTGCCTGAAATAAAAAGAAAAAAAAGTATTAAGAATTTCAGCGGGGCATGGTGGCTCATGCCTGTAATCCCAGCTGAGGCGGGTGGATGACTTGAACCCAGGAGTCTGAGGCCAGCCCAAGCAACATGGCGAAACCGTATTTCTACCAAAAATACAAAATATTAGCCGGGCATGGTAGTGCATGTCTGTGGTCCCAGCTGCTTGGGAGGCTGAGGCAGGGGATCGCCTGAGCCCGAGAGATGGAAGCTGCAGTGTGCCAAGATCAAGCCACTGTACTCCAGCCTTGGCAACAGAGCAAGACCCTTTCTCCAAAAATAAATAAGTAAATAAATTAATAAAACATTTTCAAGACAGCAACTGCAAAGCATTAAACTCCAAATGCAGGCCCTTCTGAGCACGGGGCCCTGTGCAGATGCACTGGGCCCTCATCCAAGAAGCTGGACCCACCTGTGGCCAGGGAAGGCAAGTGAAGGTTGGACTTCATTTAACACAATTCTCCACGTTCACTTCAGCACAGGACCCCTTTTGGGGTGAACAGTCCATGGTGCTATCATCCCAGGTACCACTCTTTTAGAAACGCTACATCATCTCATTCAAACCTCATCATAGCCCTGCAAGTCAGGAAAGTCCATGGTTATCATCACTTTTCCCAGAGGGAGAAACTTAGGCACAGAGAAGAATGTGTTTCACTTGAAATACGACAGTGGTTAAGAGACAAAGACATCTCTCAAACCCAGGCATCCAATGCTCTTTCTCCTCAATATACCAGCCTTCCCAACCCTCCAAGATGCTTTTACACATCCCTTATTGACAAAAAAAGGAGCCCTCAGGAGAGGGCTGTAATTCTGGCAGGTTTCCAAGCTGCAGCTACTATTTATTAGTAAATCTCCAGATGTGCCAGGAAATTACAGACCAGCAAATTAGTTTCATCATTTCACTAGTTTATTTAAGGAGTTATTTGCAAGCTCTGCTAAAAGCTCTTTCCAGCAAAAGTTGTAGGAAGAGTGGTTTTTTTTTGTTTTTTTTGTGCCTCGGTGATGCTATGTTATCCTGAGCATCCAAAGGACTCCTCAGGGAAGAGAAGTCCCACCAGACTAAGAAGAAACTGCTAACTTTAATGATACTTAATGATAACCACTGCCCCTCATAAGTGCAGTGGCCATCCTCCAAGATGGCCCCGAGTGATTCCTGGGCCTCCTGGGATCATGCCCTTGTGCAACCTCCTCCCACACTGAATGGGGCCCATCTGTGCAATCAGTAGGATATTGCAAAAATAACAGAGTGTGACTCCTCAGATTAGGTCATAAAAAACATGGCAGTTTCTATCTTCCTCTCTCTTAGGTAACTCACTGGGAGGGTAGGGGGGTGAGTGGGAAGCTAGCTGCCATATTGTAAGGACACTCAACAGTCCTATGGAGAAGTTCCCATGTCAAGTACCTGAAGTCTTCTTCCAATAGCCATGAGTGCTCTATTTTGGAAGTGAATCTTCCAGCCCCTATTGAGCCTTCAGATGACCTCAGCCCTGGCCAATGTCATGACTTAAGCCTCATGAGAGACCTTGAGCCAGAACTACTCAACTAAGCTTTTCTGAATTCCGGACCAATAGAAGGTTTGAAATAATAGATCTCTGTTGTTGTAAGTCACCAAGTTTTGGGCTAATTTATTATACAGCAGTAGATAGCTGTTACATTTTGTTAAAAAAAAAAAAAGTTAGTGGGAAATCCACTGGATTGGGAGGGGACTGGTCTTCTGGAATTAGATCTAAACATAGTCACGTCTTTCAGGTCACTCTCTAGTGGCTAACACTGTCACTTCAAGAGAGTCTCAGGGGACACTGGAGTCACGATTAATTTTTTTTTTTTTTTGAGACAGAGTCTTGCTCTGTCACCCAGGCTGGAATACAGTGGCACTATCTCAGCTCACTGCAACCTCTGCCTCCCCAGTTCAAGCAATTCTCCTGCCTCAGCCTCCCAAATAGCTGGGATTACAGGCTCCCCCAACCACACCCAGATAATTATTGTATTTTTAGTAGAGACACGGTTTAGCCATGTTGGCCAGGGTAGTCTCGAACTCCTGACCTCAAGTGATCCGCCTGCCATGGCCTCCCAAAGTGTTAGGATTATAGGCATAAGCCACTGAGCCTGGCCTGGAGTCACAAATTTTGGAGGGAGATGAGGAGGCAGAGAAGGAGAACTCAAGTCATTGTCTAAGGCTTTCAAATAGGAAAGCATCATGGTGGTGGCTAACAGCCTTTTGTGGGGCAACATGAGGCCACACCCCAGGGATGAGAAGCAGCCCATACTTTAGCGATGCATTCTATAGCTATGAATTATCACCAATACAGTAACAATAGTGACTACTGAGCACTCTGCATGCCTAGATTTCATACTGACTTTCAGTGCTTTACTGCCATTAACCCAATGACTTGATGCATCAGGCAGAGCACATCTGTTGTGGGTGACAAACCCCAACTCAAACTGGCTTATGCCAAAATGGGCATTTATGGGTTCCTTAACTGAGAGATTCAAGGGAGTATTCTTGGCTTCAGGAACCACTAAATCCAGGGTCTCAAACAAAGTTTCTCAAACGGGATTCTCTCTCCCTCTCTGTCTCCCTCTCCTCCCCCATCCCCACCAATCTCCCTGTTTCTTTCTTTTTTTTTATTTCCAGGAAAATTGGATACCAGTAGCTCAAGTCTGTGCTCTTACAACTCATAATATAAAAGCAAGATACGCTGTCTTCCAACAGCCCCATGTCATATCTCATGGAGGGACTCTGATTAGGCCACTCCCTTAAATCAGTTTCTGTGGACAGGGACATGGGGCACAATGATTTTCTGGGACTAGATCACATGCTCACTCCCTTCACCCAATAGGGATTGGGGGAACAGGGGTTGCCAGTCCCACCAGACACACATGGGATGGTCATATCCTAATTGAAAAAGGGATGACCAGCAGAGAGAAATAACCCAGATTCATTAGTGTTAATATCCCCATTTTATAGAAAAGGTAATTGAGATTAGAGAAACTGCAAACCCGCCCAAGATCTCCTAACAAAGTCAAATATGTCTGTCTCCAGTTCAAAGGTCTCATCAGTACTCAGTGATGCTTCTTCCACCTGCTAATCTCATAGGATCCTCTAACCCACGCAGGAAGTTTATAGGCAGGATTATCTCCCTTTCCAAAAGCCAGAACAATAACCTGGCACCCTCAATCCAGACCCTGGCACCAATGCCACATCTGACCCAGCACACCCAGGTCACCCAAGGAGCCTCCCGTCCCGACCCAGATTGCAGCAAGAGCCAGGCTGGAGCTTAGGAATGCAGCACTGATTATCCCCACTCACCTCCACTGGCAGGTGAAACTCTGCCATGGCATTCCTTTGCTTTTGGAGTGAAGACCCAAACTCTTACCTAGGGTAAAGGTCCTGAACATCTGGCCCCCGTTCACCCGCTGGCCTCTTCTTCTCCATTCTCTGTCCCAGTAACACTGTTCTTACATTCCATGAAGGTGCTTTGCTTCCTCTCACCCCAGGACCTTTGCATATTCTGTTCCTTCTGCTTGGAATGCTCTTTCCTCTGATCTTCACCTAGAAAACTCACCCTTCAAGCCAGGGGCAGTGGCTCATGCCTGTAATCCTAACACATTAGGAGGCTGAGGCAGGCAGATCACTTGAGGTCAAGAGTTCAAGACCAGCCTGGCCAATATAGTCAAACCCCATTTCTTCTAAAAATACACAAATCAGCCATGCATGGTGGAAGGTGCCTGTAGTCTCAGCTACTTGGGAGACTGAGGTGGGAGAATCGCTTGAACCCGAGAGGCGAAGGTTGCAGTGAGACGAGAACACGCCACTGCACTCCAACCTGGGGGACAGAACGAGATTTCATCCCGCCTCACCCCTCAAAAAAAAGAAAAGCAAACTCATCCTTCAAATCAGCTCCTTGAGGAACCCTCCACACCTCCATAGTCGGGGTCAGTGTCTCTGTAGACCATCGTGGAAACTCAAAGCATTTGCTGAGGTTATGAGAATACATTTACGTGGAATTATCTGGTGAAAACATGTGTCTCCCAATAGATGTAAGATCATCAGAGCAAGGATCATACCCATGTTTCTAGTCACCATTCCTAGCAGTTAGCCCAGGGCCTGCCCCAGAAAAAACCCTCAAAAAACATTTATTAAACAAATGAAAGGAAGAGAGAGAGGGAAGGAAGACGGAGAGAGGGAGAGAGGAGTTTTCTGTGCCTCAATTAAAGATTCCATGTAGTAAACCACAAGCATTTCAAAGATGTTGATTGACCTCTTAAACTAGAATGAACATGAAGAAAATAAAACCATTACAAGCATTAGAGGATTTATTGGCTAAGCCTGGCTGCTTTTCGTATTATTCCCTATGTTTTCCTTTTACTGGAACCACAGGACCAAAGTCCAGGGCATGGGGGGAGACAGGAAGCGACAGAAACGGAAAAAATAAAGGAAGGAAAGAGAGAAGGAAAGACAGACAGGAAGAATAAAATAGAGGGAAGAGGGTGGATGGAGGATAGGAAGAAGAGTTCAAGAAGGGTGGGAGGAACCCACCTAAGCCTGATAATTCTCAATGAGGATGGAAAGTAAATAATGCAGGGTCATTCTGCAAGCCCACACTGAAATACACAAACCCCACTACGCCCAGGAGCTGGCATGGTATGGGCCCATGACAGGCCATTAAATGGAAGCTAGACAGAAAATATGATCCATGGAATTAAAGGCCTTAGAAGGAGGCTTGCTCTGAAGCAAAAAGAAGGAAACAAAGATCAGGGCTGACATAGGGAGGGAGTAGAAAGAGTGCGGAATGTGTCACGCCCTTCCTCTGCCAGGAGACCTCTGTCTTCCCCTGTGGCTATGATGACAATATGAAGGGATGTTTATTGCTAACACAGCAAAATGTGGTCCAGTGGCCAGGAGTTTCCCTGGCATGATTCATTCATGTTCTGAGCAAATGAACAAGAGTTTGCATTGTTGGAGGGGTTGTGGCACACATAAGGTAGTGGGGCGAAAGTGTGGAGATGTGGCCGCTCGTGTCAGCAGTCGCTGGAGGCAGGTACAGATGCTGCACACTGATGGAGTCCCTGCAAAATCCCCACCTCTCAACTCAGGTTCTGGGAGCCCTGGGGAAACACAATGTGGACCTTGGTTTTACTGTAAAGAATAGCAAGCATGTGTATTCTCTTGGGAAGGGCAGACGGCCTCAGGCCAGCATCTCAGATGCTGCTTTTTAAGCAAGGAGGAGTTTACAAAAAGATAGGAATACAAGCAAAAACAATAGGAAGGATGACTGCAAAAAGGAGGGAGAATTGCTAAGGTAGCAACTTGGGGGATGAGATGCCTGGTGAAATGTCTGAGGGGAAATCAAGTAAACCTCCTCCACCAACTCCACTCCTATGCCCCCATCCCTAGGCAGTTTGTTCCTGCTGGGACCATTCGTTCAGTGCTAGAACTCACAAAACCCTTTCTGACAGGCAAACATAGATAATTTACTGACTCATGTAATTGAAAAGCCCAAGGATTAAATGGTATCAGGCATGGCTGGATCCAGGAGCTCATGAAGTGCTATCAAGACTGTTTTTCTCCCTCTGTCTCTTGGATCTGTTTCTGTCTCTGCTGGCAGGATGTCTCCAGTCCTAATAGGGGTGGTGGCAGCCATCCCTGCCTAAGGGGTGCTTCTCTTTCTCAATAGTTTCCAAAAAATCTCAGGCCTGAGTCTTATTGGCCACGGTTGGGACACGTGCCATCCCCAGAGCCAGGGATAAGGAGTGAGTCCCAGCCAGATCGAGGTGTTAATAGCCAAATGATGACAAATGGCTATTGTACAGACAAAAACAACAGATGTAACCACAGAAGCTGTGTGGATAGCCACAAGATAATAGCACCCCTCCCCCACGAATTTAAACACAGATGCTGGTTGCTAGGGAGGGATGCTGAGGTCAACACACACATTGGTTATTTTCTGAAACAGAGAGAGCTTGGTGGAAAAGATTCCTCTCCTGGCTGGTCGTTGGGAGTTTTCTTGGCAAATCCATTCTGAATCTCCAGAATTAGCAGACCTAGAGGAGGCATGTGAAGACTTTGCTGGAATGCTATTCATTCATTCATCACTCTCTCACCTCCTTCTTATTCTTCAACTCTGCCATCTGCCTTCTTCCCATATATCACAAGGGGAACTGTCCTTATGAAAATTGCCAATGACTCCTCTCTTGTGGATCCTATGGAATTTTGCTCCTTTCCTTCCTGGGTCTCTCAGGAGAACCTTCTGGAAACATGCTTTACCCATGGCTCTGCTCCCATTCTTCCCATCCTCCCACTGTGAGTACATTTACTCCTGTGCCTTCAGTTTCCATCTCTGTATTGGGTCCCAGTCCAAATTTATAGCCAGGACTACTCTGTGAGTTTTGGTCTCCTGAATCCAAATGCCTACTAGAACCTTCACTCTTGGATGTCTCTCTGGCATCTGGAACTAAACGTGTCCAAAGCACTGAACTCCTCCTCAGCCCCGTTTCAAAGCTTGCATCTCCTCCAGAGTTCCCTGCTGGATGCCTAGGACCACTGTCCACGTGCTTACCTGAACCAGAGACTGAGGACAGACAGGCCCAGCCCCCGCCTCAGCCCTACACCATTTAGTCACTAGTCACTAAATCCTCCTTGGAAATATCCCCCCACTTCCTGCCAGCCCCACGGCCCTCTAATGCGGCTCTGGCATCATGATCTCTGCCAGCAATGTCCCAACCTGCCTCCCACTTCCCACGATGTCCACCTCCTCACCCCACATCCTACCACCCACCCTGCAGTCAGATCCTTCCAACATAAATGTGATGGTGCCACTTCCTTAGTGGCTTCCCACCACTCTGAGGGATGAGTCAAACTCCTCCAGGTGACATTTAAGTCCTCCTTATAACCCAGGTCCTGCCTGCCCCTCCAGCCTACTGACTTTTTGCTACTCATCTCTCAAATCTCTCAAACTCTGTGCCCACCATGCTGAACGGCTTGACTCCCACCTTTGCACAGGCTATTACCTCTGTTTGGGGTGCTCTTCCTCCTGCCTCTTCATTTGGCTTCCCCTTCTCATCCTCCAGGGCTCCTCTTACATATAACACCCCCCAGGACAACGTCTCTGACTAAGACTAAGCTAAGTATCTCTCCCAATCAATCAACTCTCTAGGGAAGATGGTACTGGTGTTCAAGTTCTTTTCTTTTCTTTTCTTTTTTTTTTTTTTTTTTTGAGATGGAGCCTCGTTCTGCCACCCAGGCTGGAGTGCAGTGGCATGATCTTGGCTCACTGTAACCTCTGCCTCCTGGGTTCAAGCAATTCTCCTGCCTCAGCCGCCTTAGTAACTGGTACTACAGGCGCCCACCACCACACCTCGGTAATTTTTGTATTTTTAGTAGAGACAGGGTTTCACCATGTTGGCTAGGCGGGTCTCAAACTCCTGACCTCAAATGATCCACCCTCCTCGGCCTCCCAAAGTGCTGGGATTAGATGCATGAGCCACCGCACCCGGCTGTCAAGTTCTTGATGAATGGGAAAGTTTACTGAGAAGAGGAGAGGAAAATCTTTGAGTATATTTTTAGCCAATGAAGACTTTCTTTTTGATACTTACTTTCCAAACAAAAATATATTAATTTCTTACTCTGAGTCAGCGGCACCTGTGCTGGACACAGGTTTGCCAGCAAACAAGACAGACACACGCCTTGCCTTTTAGGAAATTATAATCCAATAGGAAAGACAGATACTAAATTAACAGTTCAGCCAAACTTAATGGGTACTAGCCCTAACTCTCTTGTGGCAGATTGTATTTTCCAAAGATGGCTTCAATATGCTCTCTTTCAATGTGACTAACACTATTCCATTGAGATACAGGATCTGCGTTCCCTGTCCTTGAAACCGGTTGGACTGCTATGACCAATAGAATGTTGTGGAAGTGACACTGAGTGACTTTAAGTCAATAAAAGTTTCCACCAATCTTTATTTCTCTCTCTCTCTCTCTTTTTCTCAGGACTCTCTCCTTTGGGATCCAGTCACCATGTTGTGAGGAAGCCCAGACCACATGGAGAGGCCACATATAGAGGTTCTAGCCAATGACTCCAGCTAAAGCCTCAGTCAACAGACAGCATTCACGTGAATGAACAGGTCTTCAGATGAACCCAGCCCCAAGCCTTTGTCCCTTTCAGCTCAGTCCGCAGACACCAAGAAGCATGGAGAAGCATTTGCCCTATCGAATTCCCAATCCACCGAATCCACGAGTGATTGTTTTATGCCACTAGGTTTTGGAACAATTTGTTCTGCAGCCATGGCAACTATATTACCTCTCTAGGTTTCCTTGCACAAAAGAACACTGGACTGGAAATAAAGTGAGTGGAATATTCCCATCCCTTTCTCTTAATAGCTGTTGACACTCAGTAGCTGTGTGAACTTGGGCATGTCATTTCTCATCTCCAGGTTCTTTATCCTCCCTCCTGAAATACAAGGATAGAGTTGGATGATTTCTAAGACCCTAGGAAGCTTGAAAATTGTATCAACAGAGACTCTTTATGGAATGACCCAATTAAAACCATGTCAATTGATATGGCAAGAGGTGAACTTTTTAACTGAAATTCTTGATTTTTTGTTTTATCTTTCTGGGAGGTGAACTCAACTAAAGCCATTAGGAAAGCAAAAGGGCTCCTTTAATGCATAATTCATGAAAGGAGAGTGGGTTTGACCCAACAGGTCATTTGGAATAAAAATGCCATAAAAATAAAATATGTTATCCCTCCCCTTCTGCCCCCCCACCATCCCTCACACTAGCTAATGGAGGGGAAGAGTGAATTAAACTGGAGTTCAGGTCAAAGGTTTAGTTGATTTATTCCAGAATGGTCATTCCCTCCAGCTGCTCAAGTAACAATAGACATTGCAGATGTTCAGGCAGTTTTGTCCCCACCCCAGGGCCCTTGTCCTGAGTGATAAGTCCCCTCCTCCTTCCCTGGGGAGATGAACTCATTTTCTAATGGCCTGCCCAATTAGGAAGCATATGAGTCTAGCGAGAAGACACCTTGTCTGCTTCAAAAGCTTTGGGGAAATTCCCCAAAGGGCCAACCTGTTTCACAGAGGCAAAGGGAAAAAAAGTAGACAGCCTGTAATTAGTATAATAACCTGTTCAGATTCCACCTGCCTGTGATTTCCCCAGCTTGTTCATCCATTCATGTATTCATTCACTCAGGCAACAAATATTTACAGAGCAGCTGTGATGTGTAAGCCCTGGTGATACGACAGGTCCCCCAGAAGAAGCTAACGATTTGTGTGCAAGCGATTGATTAAGGAAGTGCTCCCAGGGGTGTCTGGCAGGGGGTGGGGGTGGGGGGAGCAGGACAGGGAAGGGAAGACTCCAGTCAAAGGTTGATTTCAAGCAAAGTCCAGGCCTCAGCCTGATCCTTCAGCAAGCTCTGGAGTGTAAAGTATGCCTCAGAGGTTGTCCCAATTCAAAGCAAAGGTGCTAGGCTTTCAGACTTCTGCATCAGACAGTTATGGGTAAAGGCTGCCCTGGTAGAAATGTAAATCCCAGGCATTTCTGACACTGCACATGCAGGCAAATGGGTTCCAGGAGCCTGTGTACAGTATTTTTTCTTCTTTGTTTTAAGCCACAGGTACATGCTAGTACAAGTAAAACAACAAAATAGCCAGGGGCAGACCTTTTCCCACTCTGCCAACCTCTATATATTAGCATTATCTTGCTTCATGGTTGCAAGATGGCTGCAGCCGCTCCAAACTTCCATCCTCTTACAACAATATCCAAAGGCAAGAAGGGTTGGGCAGGCAGCTAGCCCCACCCCTACAGACCTGACTTGCCAGAGAAGAACATTTCTCCAGTACACTTTGCATTGTGTCCTCTTTGTCAGAAGTGGGGCAATGCACCCTTTTTTTTTCAGACAGGGTCTCATTCTGTTGCCCAGGCTGGAGTGCAATGGCACGATCTCGGTTCACTGCAACCTCCGCCTTCCGGGTGCAAATGATTCTCCTGCTTCAGCCTCCTGAGTAGCTGGGATTACAGGCGTGTGCCACCATGTCTGGCTAATTTTTGTATTTTTAGTAGAGACAGGGTTTCACCATGTTGGCCAGGCTGGTCTTGAACTCCTGACCTCAAGTGATCAGCCCACCTAGCACTCCCACAGTGTTGGGATTACAGGCATGAGCCACCGTGCACAGCCTACAATGCACCCTTTTAAACCAATTCCCACCAAAAGGGAATGAGATTACCATGAATAGTTTCCTGGATTGGGAAGAGGTCACCTTCTGTGAGGATCTTGCCCAACTCTTGATACCTAATGGGTATCAAGAGGTGGGCAAAAAAAAAAAAAAAAAAAAACAAACAAAAAGATACCTGATGGGTTCTTGTTATCAAGGAAGAAGAGGGGATAGCTTTTGGGTAAACAATGATCCATGTGTGCTACACTGGTCAATCAGGGCACCATGCTGTCTGGGCTATGGTGATTGGTTCAGGATGGACATATTACTCAAGCCAAGCCAATCAGAGTTAGTCTTGGGAATTTTGCTGTACTCACCAGGAAAAGGATCTTAGTCTTTCCTGAAAGCATCTAGGGTAAGAAACAGGACAGCCATAACAGCACCATGGGAACCCTGAGAATAAAGCCAACACAAAGAGAAAAATGAAGTGGATCCAAGAGAGGGAAAGAGATCAAATCTGGCTGGCTAATTCAGAACCCCTAAATCCAACCTAGGCTGAAGCTAACTCTACCCTTGGGCAGAAAAAAAGTTCCTTTTTGCTAGTTCACCTTGGTTTGTATCTTCTGTTTATTGTACCTAAAAGATTCCTAAGGAGTACAAGTGGCAAACAAGGTAGACAAGCCTGTGCCCTTATGGAGTTCACAGTCAAAACAGGGAGACAGGTACCGGACAAAGAATTACAAGAACAATGTGGGTTACAAAGGTCAAGTGCAGGGGACACGAAGACCACATAAATAAACCGGCCAGCCTAGTGTAGGAATCAAGAAGAGTCCCTGAGGAAATGTGGTTCAAGCTGAGCTTGAAAGGGCAATGGCTGTTTCCCAGCATTAGACTCCAATGTTACCCCTGACTTCACAGACGTAGCAGGGGACAGGCACTCACTGGGGAAGCCTGCTCTGTTTCATTAGGACTGTGCAACTGTTCCACACTCCAACATACCCCTCAGTCTTTCATCCATTCTTCCAACACCCTAATTTGTTCAAAAGCTGCCAAGAATGATCAGATTTTTTTCCCCCTGCACTCCTGTAAAAGCCTTTAGTTCCGGAGAAAGACTGTGATTTCTTTCATGTTTAGGAGTGTTTTCTTTTCTTCTTAATTCCTTCCCTCCCTGTGTAAATTGGAGCAGTCAAATCAGGTCTTGAGGTAGGGAAGGGACCAAAAGAACTCCCAGCCAGGTGCAGGTCATCAGTGAGGCTGAGAGACACTGTAAGTGGGGAAGCCCTGCAGGAAATATGGACCTCACACTCCCCAGATAGAAAAGTCTCTCAGGCCACTCTCTTCGAACCTCACCCAGGGATGTTCTCTGGCATCATGCACTGACTCGGAAGGGAGAAAAGCTCTTGGTCCAAATGTCCCAGTGCCGCTGTGAGCTCCAACAAGTCTCTGAGCTTCAATCTCCTAATCTGCAAAATGGAAAAAATACACACTGAGTCGTACCTGCCTCAGAGGGCTTGGGTGCATCAAAGGTGATGTTGTGAATAGGCCAGGAAGCACGCTCCAGCATCCAGTCATGATCCACAGTCTCACACTTCCATTCGACTAGGGTCCTCAGGCCCCATTCTCCAGCCCCAAGCACAGAGACCAAATCTCCCAGTTCTCTTTCTTTGGGTTCCATGCCACCCATACTCCCATCTCATGTCCACCATGACAGCTTCCAGAGCTAGGCCCAGGACACATGTGCTAATTGGAAGGGTCACTGTTGTGGTTTGCCACCTCAGGTTGGAAGACTTGTGCTCACAGGCTGTCACTTTCATGCTGGAGGCTGACTAATCTGCTCCTTCAAGGGCCCGACTTCACCTTAATTCCAAAATCAAGGAACTTCCGTGGGTTCTTGGACCTTCGTCACTTTAGAAGCCACCATATATCTATCTGTAATGTATATGCGTAGCAACCCCCTAAAGCCAACTCCATGGCACATGATGGAAACAGGGCCCATGGAATTGTGCCACCCAGGGTAGGGCACCTGCAAGGCAATATTTCAACATAGTAACTCTGCCAAGCTACCCTTTGGGCCAGTGGGTATCTTTTCTTTTCTTTTTTTTTTTTTTTTTGGAGAAGGAGTCACACTCTTTCGCCAGACTGGAGTGCAGTGGTGTGATCTCAGCTCACTGCAACCTCCACCTCCCGGATTCAAGCGATTCTCTTGCCTCAGCCTCCCAAGTAGCTGGGACTACAGGCACGCATCACCACACCCAGCTAATTTTTGTATTTTTTAGTAGAGACAGGGTTTCACCATGTTGGCCAGGATGGTCTCGATCTCTTAACCTAGTGATCTGCCCACCTTGGCCTCCCAAAGTGCTGGGATTACAGGCATGAGCCACTGCGCCTGGCCACCAGTGGGTATCTTTACACAGCAGGTCAACCTTGTAAAGCAATTTGTGTTAGTCTTTAGTTGGAGATGGGCAGCAGGGTCTGGTCCTGAGACTGAAACCAGCTAGCTGGGTGGCCTTGGGCAGTCATGGCCTCCTCTCCTCAACTGTCCCCACCTTTCAAACTGTTTCCAAAGCCCTTCAGCCTTTGGAAACAGAAAGGAGATCTTCAGGGGCCTATGGAACCCTGCACACACATCTACCCCCACCTCCCAACTTCAGATAGAGCAGCACCACTTTTTAACATTTTACAAGTTGGATTCTGAATAAAAGTTTGCCTGAAAGAAATTTTCCAAAGAAGGGAAGAAGAGGAGGAATAATTAGGCTAGTGAGTTGGCACAGCCCATTCAACTTTTTTTTTTTCTTGAGACAGGGTCTCACTCTGTTGCCAAGGCTGGAGTGCAGTGGTGCGATCACAGCTCACTGAAGCCTTGACCTCCTGGGCTCAAGCAATCCTTACACCTCAGCCTCTGGAGTAGCTGGGATTACAAGTGCATGCCACCATGCCCAGCTATTATTTTTTCTCTCTTGTAGAGATGAGGTCTCACTATGTTGCCTAGGCTGATCTCGAATTCCTGAGCTCAAGCAATCCTTTCACCTTGGCCTCCCAAAGTGCTGGGATTACAGGCATGCGCCACTGTGCCTGGTCCCCGTCCACTTTTTACACATGATGACTTAACCACGGCTGAGAATCTCAGATATATTTTTGTTCTAATGACTTCAAGAAGACAGTTTTTTCGTAGCAGATGTTGAGTAAAATGGATCCGCTACTTTTTTTTTTTTTTTGAGACGGAGTCTCACTGTGTCACCCAGGCTGGAGTGCATGGCATGATCTCTGCTCACTTCAACCTCTGCCTCCCGAGTTCAAGCGATTCTCTTGCCTCAGCCTCCCAAGTAGCTTGAACTACAGGCGTGCGACACCACTTCCAGCTAATTTTTGTATTTTTTTTGTAGATACTGGTCTCGAACTCCTGGCCTCAAGTGATCTGCCCGCCTCGGCCTCCCAAAGTGCTGGGATTACAAGCGTCAGCCACCACGCCCAGCCACTGCTTCTTACCAAAGCACTGAAAGTGGTTCTGAGAGGAAAAGATTCTTTAAAGTGGTGCTACTTCACTTCAGTGTGTGCGTGGACCACCTGAAGAGCTGGTTAGAACTCCAGATTCCTAAGACCCCGCCCTCTCAGGGTAGTGATTTGAGTTCAGACTTGCAGCTGAGAACAAGGACTGGCATCCCCTCTACCGGCCACCAGCTCTCTCACTGGGGCATGCTGGTCAAACAGTCTGTGCCTCAGCTTTCTCATCAGTGAAATGGGTATAATTATGTATATACCTTAGGATTCATGAGGATTACATGAGTTAGTAAGTGTCAAGCACTTAGAACAATGGCTAGTCCATAAAAAATGCTCAGTAGGCCAGGCGCATTGGCTCACATCTGTAATCCCAGCACTTTGGGAGGCCGAGGCGGGTGGATCATGAGGTCAGAGATCGAGACCATCCTGACTAACATGGTGAAACCCCGTCTCTACTAAAAATACAAAAAATTAGCCAGGCGTGGTTCCGGGCACCTGTAGTCCCAGCTACTTGGTGAGGCTGAGGCAGGAGAATGGCGTGAACCCAGGAGGTGGAGCTAGCAGTGAGCCAAGATCGCGCCACTGCACTCCAGCCTGGGCAACAGAACGAGACTCCATCTAAACAACAACAATAATAATAACAAATGCTCAGTAAATGTGAGTTGTTAGTGATATCAGGGTGGAGCCCAGGAAGCTACATTTTAACCAGCAGCCCTGGGTGATTCGAATGCAGATCTATGGCCTGCACTTGAGGACCTCGGTTCTACAGAACACGGACCAGCCTTCATCATCTATAAGTGATTCCTTTACCTTTCATAAGAACAAGGAGCTAGGGTCTTCTGTCCCAGCCATCTGTGTGCCTCAAAAGGCAGCAGCTATTTTCCCCTCAAATGGAAATAGCTGGTTATTCCAATTAGACATGGAATACATGCTAATTACCCCCCTAAATCAGAAAGGTCAGAGAGATGGAAAGAAAAAACTATCTATAAATAATCCCCAAACCCAGAGAAAACTTGTAATGTGTCGTTTCTATGCCTACACACACACACACAAACACACACACAGAATTTTTTTATTGTAATCACCCTTTTCCCTTAAATGTGACAGGAACATCTTTCCATGTCAATAAACACAGCCCTGTGATGTTTATTTTAATGCTGCTCACTATTCCAAAGTGTGGACTTACATAATTTATTTAGCCAAACCCTAATTGTCAGACATTTTGGTTATTTCCTTTCTTTTTTTTTTTTTTTTTTTTTTGAGACACAGTCTTGCTCTGTCACCTGGGCTGGAATGCAGTGGCACAATCTCAGCTCACTGCAAGCTCCGCCTCCCAGGTTCACGCCACTGTCCTGCCTCAGCCTCCTGAGTAGCTGGGACTACAAGCTCCCGCCACCATGCCTGGTTAATTTTTTGTATTTTTAGTAGAGACGGGTTTTCACCTGTTAGCCAGGCTGGTCTTGATCTCCTGACCTTGTGATCTGCCCGCCTCGGCCTCCCAAAGTGCTGGGATTACAGGCGTGAGCCACCGCGCCCGGCCGGTTATTTCCTTTCTTACAGACTGGTAATTGACAATTTCAGGAACATCCAAGTCGCATGTTCCTGTGGCGCCCTGCGTGTTTCCTTAAGTAACCACACATGTAGATTTTGTTCAGTGTTGGTCTCCTTTGGAATGCAGAACGCTCTGAGAGATCAAGGCTGTGCCTGCCTAAGCCCACCCTTTGCACAGAGCCTATGCAACGAAACAGGTTAGAAATGATCCGGAGTTTATGCTGTCGATTCAGAGGCACCAGGTGCAAACCCAGCTCTGCCTGCAATTAGCTCTGGGCTGTGAGCAGTGAATTAACCTTGGAAGGCTTCAGTTTCTCTGTCTGTAAAATGGAGATGGTGACATGGCATCTCATGGGGTCACCCTGAGCAGCCTGCCAGATAATGCATGGGACATCTTACATGGTGCCTACCACCTGTTAAGTCTCAGTTACTTACCAAGCACTTACCAAATATTTAATGAACTAAAATATAAATAAATACATTTGCACATTAGTCAAAATTCCTTAGGATCAATTCCTAAGATAAGAAGGGTTATACTTCTTAAAGACTTTCAATTCATGCTATTAAATTCTCCTCCAGGAATGCTGTGACCTCCACAAAATTCTGGTTTCTCACTGCCCCATAAGCCCAAGGAGGGGGAATCTGTGATAATTGTTCCCTCTCTTCGATGAGGGAAAACACAGGAGGCTGGGGGATGGAGGGAGTTCAGTACAGCAATTGCTTGAGGTCATTTAGGTAAGGCTGACTTGAATCGCATCTTTTTTTTTTTTTTTTTTGAGACAGCTTCTCGCTCTGTCGCCCAGACTGGAGTGCAATGGTGCGATGTCAGCTCACTGCAACCTCCGCCTCCCAGGTTCAAGCGATTCTCCTGCCTCAGCCTCCCGAGTAGCTGGGATTACAGGCACGTACCACCACGCCTGGCTAATTTTTGCATTTTTAGTAGAGACATGGTTTCACCGTGTTGGTCAGGCTGGTCTCCAACTCCTGACCTCAGGTGATCCACCCGCCTCGGCCTCCCAAAGTGTTGGGATTACAGGTGTGAGCCACTGTGCCCGGTCTGAATCCCATCCTTTTAAGGAAGAGTGAGCCAGTGATGTGGCAGAGAGGCAGCCACCATTTCTGTGATACATCACATCAGACTTGCCTGGACATTGAAGTCAAGTCTGCCCAAGTGCATCAGCAGGACCCTTAGGCATCTCTATCCTGGACCCGCAGACCCTGTGCCTGTGGGCAGACAGGCCTGTCTCGCAGAGGGTGAGGGAAATGCCTGGGACCAGCCAGCATCAGCCAGCCCTTTACAGGGAGGACTGAGGTCCCTCACTGCTGATCCTTTGGGCCTCCCCTTGATCTGGAGCCCAGGCTTCCTTCTGAGGCCTTTCTCCTCCCTCAGCTGTGACTAGCTGTGTCTGTTTTTCAGCGGCCAATGGCTAATTCCAGGATTACACTTTCTAAGTTGATGTAATGTGATATCCAGAGTGCAAAAGCTTTGCTTCCAGCCGTGAAGCATGGGGAATTTCTCCAGGGGCTGGAAATCGCATTCAGGCCGTGGAAGGGCATGGGTGAACCACTAAACCTTTTCATGACACACAGCTCCATAAAAAGTGGAGGAAAATCTGGGCTGAGAGGTATAAACTCTATTGCAACATGTTTTCAGCTCCTGAGGAATTGAAAAATCCATCCTTAGTCACGTTCTCTAAATGTGTGGAGAAAGGACGGGGGACATTTCTTCCAAGCGGTGTGACATTCTCTCCCCAAAATTTCAGCCACAGAGCACATATAGGAAAAGGGATTTGGGGAGCATAAAAAATGAGCATTTTCAAAAGAGGGAGCTATTTTCAGCAAAATAATTTCAACCCACAGAGTAGCCTTTTTTAGGGGTGTTTTTTTCTTTCTCACTTGAATAATAATGGCATTTTCCCCAGTTTTTTTTTTTTTTTTAAAAAACACCTTAGGCATTCAGAGACATGTAAGTCTATGAAAAAGATATTATTAGTAATAAAAATCATAATAAGAGTCATTTATTTTTATTTTTGTAAAGACAGAGTCTTACCATGTTGCCCAGGCTGGTCTTGAACTCTTGGCCTCAAGTGATTTGTCTGCCTCGGCCTGCCAAAGTGCTGGGATTATAGGCACGAGCCACCGTGCTTGGCCAATAGTCAAAATTTATGAAGCACCTAACCTGTTTTAGGTAGTTCATGACAGTGTTCATATTAATTAAACCTCTATATAACCTTAGCCCTATGACCAAGGCAACATTATCCATATTTTGTAGAAGAGGAAACCAAGCTTAAAGAGGGAAAGCCATTTGGTCAAGGTAGGATAACAGTTTTCTCCCATCCAAGTACTAACCAGGCCAACCATGCTTAGCTTTGGAGATAAGATGAGATCGAGTGCGTTCTGGGTGGTATGGCCACAGACGGATAACATTTTTCCAACCTTTTATTAAAGTGCACCCCAGAAAAATATACACATTGTCAGGAAACAGCTGGATGGATTTCACCAAGTGAACACATCGTGTAACCAGTATCTCAACCAAGAAACAAGACGTCCCTTCCAGCCTCCAACCAAGAAACAGGACGTCCCTGCCAGCCCCTCTCCTGCGCCCTCCCACCCCTTAATTCCCAAGGGTGACTACCGCCCTCACTTACACCGTCCACTCACTTTGCCTGTTTTAAAATCCACATCTATGGAATCATACCATGTTTACTCTCTTATCCGTAATGTCCTTCCTGCAACATGGTGTTTGCGACAGTCACCAGTGTTGTTGCGCGTAGCACTCGTCTTATTCATTCTCGTTGCAGCATGAATTCTGTGGTGTGGATGCCCGTTCTGGAGCTGTTGGGCCTATGGGTTGTTCCCAGTTGGTGGCTCCTACAAAAGACACAGCTATGAACCTTCTCAGGCATTTCTTCTCATGCATTTAGAAGGGAAACATATGTTCAGCTTTAGGAGATTCTGCTTTCCAAAGGTGGTAGTCCAATTTACACTCCCATCAGCAGCATCTGAGAATCCCAATTGCTTATTTGCCTCCTTAGAATTTGGGATTGAGGCCGGGCGCGGTGGCTCAGGCCTGTAATCCCAGCACGTTGGGAGGCCAAGATGGGAGGATCACGAGGTCAGGAGTTCAAGACCAGCCTGACCAACATGGTGAAACCATGTCTCTACTAACAACACAAAAATCAGCCAGGCATGGTAGCATGTGCCTGTAATCCCAGCTACTTGGGAGGCTGAGGCAGGAGAATCACTTGAACCGGGGAAGCAGAGGTTGCAGTGAGCCGAGATCACCCCACTGCACTCCAGCCTCGGCAAAAGAGCAAGACTCCCATCTCAAAAAAAAAAGGAACTCAGGATTGTCTACCTTTTTGTTTTAGCCATTCTGCTGGATGGATGTTGGATATAACTTTTAAGTTGAGGAATCGGGCATCAAACCCAAATTTTCTAGCTTGGTGCCTGGCCTAGTGCCTGGTACTTGGTGGGTGCTCAGGTGTATTTGCTGAATTAATGAATGAATGACCCCAAAGCTCACAGTTGTTCTTTACATTATTCTGCTGTTGCCTCCACCTCAGTCCCAGGCTCTCCACATCACAGGCCCCAGCCTCTCCTAGAAAACAAACAGCTCAGCAGCCTGATGTAACACCTCCAGTCTCTAAGACTTGCAATCAGTATAAAAGGAAGCCAAGGGGAGCCTGGAGTCGTTGCGGGGGCCAAGGGCTGTGGAACGCAGGCACAGCTGGGAATGGTGAGGTACCAGCCTGCTGACTGAGCAAATTTCCCATGGGCTCCACCAGCAGCCAGGAGATCAGCAGCCCAAGTGTTTCCCTCGGCGCAGGCCTGGCTGCCCCACCACTGGGCGAAGAAAAGCCTGTGAAGCAAAAGGAGAAAGGGAAAACAAGAAGGAGGCTGTGCAAACAGCCTGATCCACCTGCACTAACATCTTCCAGGAGAGAAGGGCGGGGCATGACGTGCAGACGGAGAAGAGGCTCTTAACTCCCTTGCCAGCCCCACAGGTTCACTAGGGCAACTTTTTTCAGAGGAAATCTAATAGATTACCCTTCCAATTTTAAACACCCTCATGAGAACAGGATTAAGTATGATTAAGATAATTCTATTCATTGGGAAACAGAGAGCATTGCCCAGGGCCCACTGCCCCCCAGTGTACGTGGTCTGAGTGCTTCCTTCCTTTTGCTCTTTCATTATCCTGCTGGCAAAGTCTAGGAGAGGAATGATAGCAGTCATAGTTAGCACTTTCAAGTGCTCATGTGTACGAGGCCCTGCCTCAAGCACTTTGCTGGAATTTCTTTTTTTTATTTATTATTATTATTTTTTGAGACAGGGTCTTACTCTGTCACCCAGGCCGGAGTACAGTGGTGTAATCGTAGCTCTCTGCAGCCTCAACCTCCCAGGCTCAAGTGATCCTCCAGCCTCAGCCTCCTGAGTAGCTGGGACTACAGGCATGCACCACCACGTCTGGCTAATTTTTAAATTTTTTGTAGAGATGGGGGTCTCACTATGTTGCTCAGGCTGGTCTCAAACTCCTAGGCTCAAGTGATCCTCCCACCTTGGCCTCCCCAAAGCTCTGGGGTACAGGCGTGAGCCACCGTGCCTGGCCAAGTTACCTCATTTAAACTTTGCTAAGATCCTAGAGGGTGGGGACTATTCTTGTCCCCATTTAAAGGTGAGGAGAGTAGAGCATCCAGTGGTAATCTTTAAAGATCAAACAACTAGTTAGCTATTGGTAAAGGAATAACTCAAACCCTGGTGTTCCAAGTATCTATTGCTGTGTCACAAATTACCCCAAAACTTCATGGTTTAAAACAATGACCACTTGGGAAGGGATCAGCTCTACGGAGGGTCACCCAGGTCATTTGTGGTCTTCAGCGGGCAGAGGGGCTCAGTTGAAGGATCCAAGACAGCTCCTCTCACGGGGCTGGTGCCATGGCAGGGGGTGGCAGGGTGGGCAGCCCAGCTGGGACTGTTGCCTGCAGTGCCCAGGGGTGATCTCCTACAGCAGTCTCAGGGTAGTTAACCTTTTCACAGGGCAGCTCAGGGCTGCAGAGAGGGGCCCAGGGGAGAGCAAGTGGGGACCGCCTCAGGCCCGCATCCACAGTCTAGCAAAGCAACACCTCGAGGCTGTCAGAGCCTGGCCAGATTGAAGGAGACAGGACACTGGCCTCTCAATGGGAGAAGGATCAAAGCGTTTGCAGCCATTTTTACCACGTTTTGTTTTTGTTGGATTCCAGAGCTGTCAGCGGTAACCACAAACAGATACTGCTTCACTGGTCTTTGCTGAGCATCCCCTCTGTGCCAAGCATCTGACACATTTATATATCCTGTTTTACTCATTCCTAAAAGCAAGAAAGAGAGGGAGATAAAGAAGGAAGGACAGGAAAGGAAGGAAGGGAGAGGGGAGGAAACCTAGGAGGCACAGATTTCTGCCCCTTCACAGATGAAGAAACTGCAGCTGGGAGAAGTGAAGTCCCTTGTCCAAGACTGCATGGCTAAGTGAGGGTCAAAGTCAGGACTCCAAGTCCCTGTTCTTCCCTCCTTCCTTCGTCCTTCCTTCTGGGTCTGAAACCCTCCCCCTGGCAAGTCCGTGGCTATACTTTTCCCAGTTCCCAAACACAGCCCTGGTGTATGAAGGGTGTCCCTGGGGCCTTCACCCTTGCTTAAAGAAACCCCAGGCCAGGTGTGGTGGCTCATGCCTGTAATCTCAGCACTTTGGGAGGCGGAGGTGGGCAGATTGCTTGAGCTCACAAGCTTGAGACCAGCCTGGGCAACATGGCCAAACCCTGTCTCTACTAAAAATACAAAAATTAGCCAGGTGTGGTGGCACATGCCTGTAGTCCCAGCTACTCAGGAGGCTGAGGCACAAGAATCGCTTCAACCCAGGAGGCGGAGGTTGCAGTGAGCCAAGATCATGCCACTGCACTCCAGCCTGGGTGACAGAGTGGGACTCTGTCTCCAAAAACATGAAACAAACAAACAAAAGAAACCCCAGTTGCCAGAAAGGGCTGCCCCAAAAAGGGTGCTAAACAGTTTTCTTCTCTCAGGGACAGCTCTGGTTTGTTCAAAGGGAAATGAGTGATTACAGGGGTCAGCTAGGATGGCCGGAGAAGGTTCCCCTCCATCTGTCCACCCTGAAGGCCCAATTTCCTTAAAACGCTCTGCTGGGACATTGAAACTACAGATGCCATTCAGAAACAATAAATATATATGACTCTCAGTGGTTCTCCAATGCAGCGGGCAACTTCGAAGACCTGTATGCAGGACAAGGAAAACAGCTGACTAAAGCAAGGGGCTTTCAGTGCACTATCTCTCATCCTTTCCAAGCTGATATACCATGAGGCACAGCCTTTTCAGGCACTTTTTATTGCTGTAATGTGTCAGCCTGGGTAACAGAAAGCAGGCGAGGAAGGCTTCATTATAAAAAGGAATCTTCTCATGATACTTTAATTCTATCATTTTCTTTCCTGACAAGAACTCACACACGTACACAAAAATGTGAATTTAATTTTGGGCTCTCAAAATTACTGCAAACGTGATTACTTAATCCCCCTTGGTTCAATCTTAGAATGTTGACAATTTCCTGCTAAGATTCTGGAGGCAGCAACAGAAAGTTGACAGTGTGAGTTTTGGAGATAGCCTGTCTGCCTCAGCTCTCAGCCCTCAGCAGCCAGGGGAGGGGGGTGGGAGGAGTGGGTAACTTATGCCCTGTGCCTCGGTTTCCTCATACCTAAAACGGAGAGGGCAGCAGAACCTCCCTCCCAGTGCTGCTGTGAGAGTTAAATGAGGCAAACATGAAGCAAGCTTCACACAGTGCCTGGCATTTACATACTAAGTGTTCATGCCTATTAAACATTAGCTAATTGCACATCATGATTAAAGTAGCCAAAAGAGTTCAGATATCTAAAGTCACATATACCATGTGTATAAGGGCATGTCTCTGTGTAAAAATGACCAAGTATAAATGCCTGTCGATCTTTTTTTTAATTAAAAAATTAATTTTCAGGCTGGTGTTGCTGTAAATTTAAAAATAAAAATAAAAAATAAAAAAAGTATGTATTTATTTAGAGACAGGGTCTTGCTCTGTTGCCCAGGCTGGAGTGCAGTGGTGCAATCACAGCTTACTGCAGCCTCGAACTCCTGGGCTGAAATGATCTTTCCACTTCAGCCTTCGGAGCAGCTGGGACTACAGGTGCACACCACGATGCCCAGCTTGTCAATTATTCTTAAACCTTCTAATTATTACAAAACTAATTTGCTTATTGTGAAAAAATGTTTTAAACATAGAAAAGTAGGAGGAAAAACTAAACACCACCTATCATACAACTACCTTCAGATAAATATTTTTTAACATTTTGGCCCATATACTTCCAATTGTTTTTACTGTGCATAAATATATTTAATTTTTTTCAGTAAGTACTTGCTTTTTTAATAACTTTTTTCTATTCACTAATGACATAAATGTAGTCCCCTGTCATTAAACATTTCTAGGCAGCATCATTTTTAACGGCTGTGTGGTCTTCACCTGAAGCAGGTTAGGTAGTCAAGGAAGTAACCATGTCCTCAGGACACAGCAACAGTGGGGACCTACGGTCAACACAATAAGCCCCAGCATCCTCACTGTAGTCAAGCTCATTCAAGCAAAGCTCCCTCCAGTTGGGAATCTCCCCTGTAGGGAGCATGCGCATTTTGATTTTACCTGTCCTCAGCAAAAGTCTGACCCTTTGCTTGTTATAAGCATAAAAAACACACTTCAGGCGGAGAATTTTTTTTTTTTTTTTTTTTTTTGAGATGGAGTGTCGCTCTTTTGCCCAGGCTGGAGTGCAGTGGGGCAATCTCGGCTCACTGCAACCTCCACCTATCAGGGTCAAGCAATTCTCCCTAGGATAAATTCCTAGAAATAAAGGTCAAAAGTTCTCCACATTTTTAAGCTTATATATAGGTCCACGGCATCCTTCCAAAAGGGTACATCGCTCCCACCAGTGGTGAATCAATATTCTTTTCCAGCCCTGCACATTCCTTGCTCAATTCTTTCGATGATTTTTTATTGAGCACCTACTATTTCAAGCCACTGCTAGAGATGACTAGAATAAGCCTTTTTTCTCTCTATGTTCCATCTCCAAGGATCTCCTATACTCAACTCTGAGGCTATGGCTTCAATCCAGCCCCTTCATCTCCCTATTTTACTGTCAGGGAAATGGGACTGTCTGATAAGTGGAACAGGGTTGGAGACAGAGCTCCAGTCTCTGAGACTGCAAAGGGCCCACTCCTTCTGCCCTTCAGCCAGGAATGTGGCAGTCCGAACGCCCCCTTCCTTACTGCTCTTGTGTCCTCATTGCCTTGATCTGCTTTTCTGGTCCAAGTTTTCTTCCTAAATGTTTGGCAAGAGCTTATAACCCAAACAAGAGGAAGGTTTCAACTCAAACACCAACATGGTGGTTTAGTAGTGATAACCTGGATCACTGGATTGAGGAGGATTCTGAGGCTATTTCTGAGGCCAGCTGGAGGATTGCTGTGATTGACTGGTGATGCCTGCCACAGACATAGGCATGGAGACTAATGATAAGTATGCCTGTCAATTCTGTTATTTACTCCGCTTCCAGCTTCTGCTGTCCTTAGGACAGACCCTCCTAGATTCATGTGCCTTTCTCCTGTACTTCTTTCTTTTGCTCCTTCCTTCTTCATATTCACTCCACGCACTTTCTCTTTTTGTTTCTTTACCTCACACACGTTTGTCATCTCAGTAAATCTTGTTTTCTATAGATTGCACCCTCCTTGTATGAAGCTTGCCAGGAGTGCTCACTCATGCTCTCTGCCTCTCTGCTTCTGCAGTTCATCCATTAAGTTTATCCCCCTCTGTGTTGCCAAAAGCCGTTGGTGGTAAACAACATTCCATGGGCCAGCAATTCCTTCTTGACTGACCCACCACAGGAGGGCTGTTTCCCTCAGGAAGCCCCACTGTTTAGGCAAGAGGGACCTGGCTCCCTGAGAGTCACTAGGAAACCACCCCTACAGGAAACAAAGCACATCATTTATGGTGCCTTGTTCACGTTAGAGCATTCCCTATCTGTACTTCACAAGCTCCCAGAGACTAATAAAAAGTCTGTTTTAGAATTAACTCCATGCTGCCCTAGGCCTGTGGATTGCAACAGAAAAACTTAGCCTTATAGAATTAACAGTCTTTGGGCATAGCATTACATTTCCCATAAACAGTCTTCATGTACTAAGCACTAGCTATCATCAGACATTGTGCTAAGGGCTTGAATGCCTTATCTCATTGAATTTTCCCACTAATCTGAAAGGTGGTACTGTCATTATCCCCATTTTATAGCTGAGAAAACTGAGGGGCAGGGAGTCTAAGTAACTTGCCCAAAATCAGATTCTGCTAGGGAGTGGAGAAGCTTCCAACCATGCAGGCTGCGCAGTTACACATCATATGTTAGTCAATACCATGCCTGGCTCCTTGTGTAGGGGTCATGATGTCCCACCTACCCAACAAGGAACTTAGAAATAATGGAGATAGAGTTGCCATCTGGGAGATAAACCACAGTCAGTACACAATGGATCAGATCAGCAAATTGCAAAGTGGTTCTAAAGACATATCCTGGCTCCCAGGTCTGTGAGAATAAAGATATTAGTGCATTTACAGAAAAAAATTGTGTCCATCTAATGGAGACTTGATCATCAAAAAGGGAATTCAAAGGATGTCTACCCAAGCACCACCCAGGAGAGAGGAGAGTACATCAGAGTCTTCTCTGCCTAATTGGCATATCCTTGTTACACTGTTCATTTATTAAGCTATTATTATTATTGTTTTAGAGACAGAGTCTTACTCTGTTGGCCAGCACAGTGGTGCAATCATAGCTCACTACAGCTTGAACTCCTGGACACACACAATCCTCCTACCTCAGCCTCCCAAGTAGATGGGACTACAGGCACATGTTACCACATCTGGCTAATTTTTTAAGAACTTTTTGTAGAGACAGCACCTTGCTATGTTGCCTAGGCTGGTCTCAAACTCCTGGACTTGAGTGACCCTTCCACCTCGGCCTCCCAAAGTCCAGGGATTACAGGCATGAGCCACTGCACCTATCCTATTAAACTATTATTTATGGAGCAACTACTATGTGTTAGCCCCTGCACTGGGCACTGTCCTGGTACCCACGGAGCCTGCACCCTAGGCAGGGAGGTAGAGGCAGATTTATCCTGCATCAAGACCTGGACCCCTTCCAAAAGCCCTCACAGTATGTGCATGTGTGGTCACATGGTTTTGTAGAATTTGCCCATATAAGATACCTCAATGGCCATCCATTAAGTCCACTGTCTCCATTTTCATTTCCTCTCTGTATTTAAAATAAATATTCACTTTTGTGCTGACTTAATTTTGTTCCTCTGGAAGCAGCCCCTGGGGCAAGGATAGGAATATGGTTGGCTTATTTGGGAGGCACAGGAAACACTGGCAGGGAAGTGGGGAAATGAGAACAGGAAGGGCAGACGGCCAACAAAGGCTGCGTTATCCAGGCAGCTCCCACTGTGGGCAACGGGAGCTTATCCCATGAGGGCCTTTGGGAGACGGCGTGTTTTAAAATGTAGGTTTTATTATTATTTAGCTATGGCAAAGCCAACAGCTCAGGGGATCACTGTCATTGAAAGTTATCTTGTTATACCTCCCAACGGGAGGGGACCCGCCATGCCACAAGGGGCCCCATAGGGAAGCACTGGGGTGGGTCAGGAGGCAGAAAGAGCAGGAGGAAAGCATGAGCCATAGCCTTTATTGGGTCTCCATGAGAATGATCGGCCAAGGCAGGGTTGGCTAGTTTGAATAATTCAGCAGGCTCTGGGGTATAGGGGCTGTCCCTAGTTGTCTGGTCCCTGGCCCCAGGGAGATTGATTGGGCCAGGTAGATAGTGGCTGGGCAGAGCTCAGTAAAGGTGGTTGGGAGTATGGGCTCTGGACGGGCTGGTTGGGTTGAGTTGCTTACCCTCTCTAGGAATTGGCTAGCCCTGGAAAGGGCAGTCCCTCCAGTGTCAGCAAGATCTCAGATGTCAAAGCATCAGAAATACAGAAAATAAAAGACATGGTTAAGACACAGGAGAGAACACACACCTCAGAATGATCCCAAGGAGTCATTGGCTGAGGGCTTCTGCAGGGCAAGAACAGGGAGTAGCAGTCATTCCCAAGCACTTTTTTTTTTTTTTTTTTGAGACTGAGTCTCACTTTGTCACCCAGGCTGGAGTGCAGTGGCATGATCTCGGCTCACCGCAAGCTCCACCTCCCGGGTTCACACCATTCTCCTGCCTCAGCCTCCCTAGTAGCTGAGACTACAGGCGCCCACCATCAAGGCCAGCTAATTTTTTGTAGTTTTAGTAGAGACGGGGTTTCACCATGTTAGCCAGGCTGGTCTCAATCTCCTGACCTCGTGATCCGCCTGCCTCGGCCTCCCAAAGTTCTGGGATTACAGGCGTGAGCCACCGTGCCCGGCCTCCCCAGTACTTTTATGGACAAAAGGCTGGTGATCCTGGCAGCTGAAGTGTCTGGGACATGCTGAAGTGCTAGAATCTCTGGAATATGGGTGGGGCACCAACAGCTCTGCTCCCTATACCTAATTTTACATGCATAATTGCACTTTTTTATAATAAAGAATTTTTATAAAGAATTCCTATAAAGAATTCCTCCAAAACTGCTTCTGATCCTACAAAACTGGCTCTACCCCTATGGGAAGACAATCAGTAACTGATTGTTAAGGGTTGAATTATGTACCCCTAAGATTTATATCTTGAAGTCCTTAACTGCCAGTACCTCAGAATGTGACTGTATTTGGAGAAAGGGTCTTTAAAGAAGTACTTAAAGTAAAATGAGGTAATTAGGGTGGGCCCTAATCTAGTCTGACTGGTGTCCTTATAAGGAGATTTGGACACAGACACGGAGGAAAGACCTCCTGTGAAAGGCCTTCCTGTGAAGACACAGGAAGAAGGCAAGCCAAAGAGAGAGGCCAAGAAACCAATCCTGCTCACACCTCGATCTTGGACTTCTTGCTGGCAGAACTGCAAGGAAGTGCATTTCTGTTGTGTGAGCCACCCAGTCTATGGTACTTTGCTATAGAAGCCCTAGCAAACACACTGAAGATCTGAGAGGCTGGTACCCTTAACTATTGGTGTCCAAGGACTCCCCTTGGCTGTAATCCAGCCTCCTTCTGCAGCCTTGGGGTCATCTTACTTCCCACTGAACAGGGCCCCAAGTTGATGGGGGCTTTGTCACTCTAGGGGGCTCATGTACCTTTTATTTATTTATTTATTTATTTATTTATTTATTTATTTATTTATTTATTGAGATGGAGTCTAACTCTATTGCCCAGGCTAGAGTGCAATGCTGTGATCTTGGCTCAATGCAACCTCCACCTCCCAGGTTCAAGCGATTCTCCTCCCTCAGCTCCCTGAGTAGCTGTGATTACAGGCACACACCACCACGTCCGGCTAATTTTTTGTATTTTTTAGTAGAGACGGGGTTTCACCATGTTGGCCAGGCTGGTCTCGAACTCCTGACCTCGTGATCCGCTTGCCTAGGCCTCCCAAAGTGCTGGAATTACGGGGGTGAGCCACTGCGCCCGGCTGTGTCTCTTCTAAAGGAGGCTGTCACCCTCAGCTCCAGCTGGCTTTTCCCAGATCTCCTGGTTTCCCAAGACTAGCCAGAAATCTGCATTCTTTATGAACACTCCATAGTTTTAAAAGTTGATAATGAATTTAAACATTTTTTTAAACTTTCTTTAGGCCAAACAAAACATTTCTGCAGGTGGGATTGGACTATAAATCTGCAGTTTGTAACCTGCAACTGTATTTCTTCCTTATGAGGAGCTACAACAGTCCTGCCCAAAGGACATTTCTATTTCTTGTGGTCAATGAATCCCTTAGCATTAACTGGGAGCCAGATCAACCTAGGTTAAAAATTCCACTTCTGCCACGTACTAGCTGTATGAACCAGAGGAGGTCACTTTGCCTCTAGTGACTCAGTTTCCTCATCTGGAAAGCCGTTGTCAGATAAGTTGAGGGGCAGAGGCATGGCCTGCAAAGGCCAGGCATGCCGTGGGCGTCCCAGAGCAACAGCTCTTCATGCCACCCTCATCTGTCGTCTGTTCTCTGTTGGCTGGTGTCGGGCTGCCAAGAACACTGTGACAGTTGGGACTGTGTGGGCCTCACCCTGTGATAACTAAATCACAAGCAAATATCTCCTGGCCATGACCTTGTTCAGCTGCAGGCCTCTCCTGGGGATGACCTGACCTTGGCGCACTCCTCTCTGAAGTCTGCAGGCTGAAATAAACCACTGTTGGATGGCTGAAGGGGTTCTACATGCTGCGGGTTAAAATTCCTTCCCTGGGAAGGGGAGGTGCTTGTTTCTATCTATCAGGGTCACCCTTAGAAACATGCCCTGACATTCACTTCCCCAGCATTGGTTCACAACACCAGTGAGCTCCAAAAGGAGGTCTGCTCCAAAGGCACCCCAGGTTCTGCCATTAGACTCACTGTTCCACACACATTCATTTGAAGTTCCCATCCAGTGCATAAGGATGGGAAGACACTCTGCTAAATATCTGTCCCGGGAAATATGGAGTGTTCATAAAGAATGCAGATTTCTGGCTTGTCTTGGGAAACCAGGAGATCTGGGAAAACCAAGTTAATTCTACCCAGAAAGGATGAGGGGGAGGTTGCATCCTCCTTTTTGGTACCTTTCATTAAGTAAAACTGACTTTTAGCCTGGGGATCAATCTGAGAACGCAGGTAACAGCGTAGCTGTGATGACCACATTTTTGCATATGCATCTGGGGGACATGTGGCCATTAGACTTCCTGCAAGCATTCTGTCTGGTCGAAGAGAGCACAGCCAGGTTTTGGAAGCAAAAGGCTCAGTCCTAGCTTGGTTATTTCCTTGCTGTGTGAGGACCTTGATCAACCTCCTTAACTCTCCAAGCCTCGGTTTTCTTATCTGCAAAATGGGCAAACAGTAATGCCTGCCTCATTGAGAAGGTAAGAGGAATAAAGGAAAGAATGTCAAATTCTTAGCACAGGGCCGCACTTAGTTGCTAAAACCTGCCACCCCCAAGCTAAGCACTTTACATGAATTAACTAATTTACTCCTCCCAACATCCTATGCATCATGAGGAATAAAGAGCAAGACAGGGCTGGGCGTGGTGGCTCACGACTGTAATCCCAGCACTTTGGGAGGCCGAGGTGGGCGGATCACAAGGTCAGGAGATCGAGACCACAGTGAAACCCCATCTCTATTAAAAATACAAAAAATTAGCTGGGCGCGGTGGCGGGTGCCTGTAGTCCCAGCTACTCGGGAGGCTGAGGCAGGAGAATGGCCTGAACTTGGGAGGCAGAGCTTGCAGTGAGCCGAGATTGCGCCACTGCACTCCAGCCTGGGCGACAGAGCAAGACTCCATCTCAAAAAAAAAAAAAAAAAAAAAAAAAAAAAGAGCAAGACAAATCCAACAGCAGTGTTTAGGAGGAACTGACTTTCAAGGAAAGATAGGGGCATGGATGATACTGCTCTTTCATCCCTGCTGCCCTTCAAGTCTAAGCGTCCACAGAGGAGCCCAGTGGTATTAAAATCATTACAACAATTCAAAACATTCAAAAACAAAACAAGACAAGACAAAGTATTTACAGCATGATTAGATAACCTAATCCACTACTGGGTGGCCCAGGGAGTTCACGGGTCACCGTGTAAATATTTTTGGGCAATAAAATAGTTACTGTTTTTGAGCATTTCCTAGATGCTGCACTGAATATTTTTTACTTATTGTCTTGCTTAAACCGCACAACGGTCCACAGGGATGGATGCATTGTTATCCCCATTATATAGAGGAAGAAACTGAGACTCCAAAGGATCAAGTAATTTAGCCACAGATGCCACCCATAAGGACGGACCATGCTTCCGACACACATAGGATGACTCCAACATCCTTGCTTTAGTTTCCCAAAGCTGCAGTTGGCTTGGACCAAGTGATGAGCTTTAAATCTGAGCTGGAGATAGCACCACCTCCTAGGGACATCTGCTGACAGCGGGGAGAGGAGTAGGGTTGTGGTGGGGGGAAATTAAGAAACAACTATTCAAAATCTGAATAGATCTTCCAAAGTTGCTCTCCTTTTATACAACATCCTTCTTTCTTCCTTCTCCCCTAGAGCTAAATACCTAAAAGAGTGAGCACAGTAGAATCAACTTTGGCTTGAATATGGTGTCCCTGAGTAAATACCAGCTGTGCGACAACCTTGAGTACATCTTTTTGGCTTAAGCAAAAAAAGGAGGGTGCAGGGGGAGGGGTGAGGCTAATGGCATGTATAATTGAAGAGTCCAGGGATACCCTAACTTCAGGTCAGTTTGACATAGGGGCTCAAACCTGTTTTCTCCCTCTCCATCTCTAATAGCTCTACTTCCAGAGGGTCGGCTCCACCTTAGAGGGGTTTTCCCTGCATGGTGGCAACATAGCTGCTGCAGCTCCTGCCCTACATCCTCCTAGATTCCTGTCTATCAGGAAAGTGCCGCAGTTCCAGCAGTCCCAGCAGAAGTTGTATTATGTTTTAGTGGCACGAATGGGGCCACTGCCCAGCCCTGAACCAATCCTTGGGGTCAGAGGATCATGATGAGCTGATCGGCTTCGACCAAGTGATGAGCTTTAAATCTCAGTTGGAGATAGCACCACCTCCTAGGGGCATTTGCTGAATATGGGGAGAGGAGTGGTTTTGGGGTGGGGGGAAATTAAGAAACAATTATTCAAAGTCTGAATGGATTCCAGACATGCTTGACAAAAGGGCAATCTCTCCATGCTTAAATTCCCACTTTGGTAAAATGGGAATTATGATAGTGCCTTAGTCAGTGTGGGCTGCCATAACAAAATACTATAATCCAGGTGACTTAAACAACAGTAACCAGCCGGGCACAGTGGCTCTTGCCTATAACCCTATACTTTGGGAGGCCAAGGTGGGAGGATCACTTGAGCTCAGGATTTCAAGACCAGCCTGGGCAACATAGCGAGACCCCATCTCTACAAAACATTTTAAAAATCAGCCAGGTGTTGTGGCGCATGCCTGTGGTCCCAGCTACTCAGGAGCTGAGGTGGGAGGATTGCTTATGCCCAGCAGGTCAAGGCTGCAGCAAGCCATGATTATGCCACTGCATTCTAGCCTGGGCAACAGAGAAAGACCCTGTCCCAAAACAAAAAACAAAAAAAACAAAAAAAACCACAACAATAATCTACAGTTGACCCTTGAACAACATGGGTTTGAAGTGCATGAGTCCACTTACACATGGATTTTCTTTTGTCTTACCACCCCTGAGACAGCAAGACCAAGCCCTCCTCTTCTTCCTCCTCCTCAGCCTACTCAACATGAAGATGATGAGGATGAAGACCTTCATGATGATCCACTTCCACTTAATGAATAGTAAATATATTTTCTTTTCTTTTTTTTTGAGACGCAGTTTCGCTGTAGTTGCCCAGGCTGGAGTGCAATGGCGCAATCTCAGCTCACCACAACCTCCACCTCCAGGGTTCAAGCGATTCTCCTGCCTCAGCCTCCCGAGTAGCTGGGATTACAGGCATGTGCCACCACACCTGGCTAATTTTGTATTTTTAGTAGAGATGGGGTTCCTCCATGTTGGTCAGGCTGGTCTTGAACTCCTGACCTTAGGTGAGCCACCACACCTGGCCATGATTTTCTTAATAACATTTTCTTTTCTCTAGCTTACTTTATTGTAAGAATATAGAATATAATACATGTAACATATAAAATATGTGTCAATCGACCATTTATGTTATTGGTAAGGCTTCCTGTAAACAGTAGGCTATTAGGAGTTAAGTTTCTGGGGAGTCTCAAGCTATACATAGATTTTTTACTACATGGGGGGTCAGTGTCCCAACCTCTGAATTGTTCAAGCATTAACTGTATTTTCTCACAGTCCTAGAGGCTGAAAGTCCAAGACCAGGGTTCCAGCGTGGTCAGGTTCTGGTGATGGTTTTCCTCCTGACTGCAGACAGGAGGCCTTCTCACTGTGTCCTCACATGGCCTTTCCTTAGTGCATGTACAGAGAGACGGAGAGAGAGTTCTTCATCTTCTTCTACAGGCACTAATCCCATCACCAAGGCCTTACCCCACGACCTCATGTAATCCTAATGACCTCCCAAAAGCCCCGTCTCTAAATACCATCACATTGAGAGTTAGGGCTACAACATTTGAATTTTGTGGGAAGACACAATTTAGTCAATAACAGACAGCATCTACCTTAGTTGATGTGGGAATTAAAAGGGATAATACTACAAAGTTCTAGGAGTATTTGGCTTTTAGTAAGTACCAGTTAATAAACAGGAGCACAAAAAGTATGTTTTTGTGGGGCATGGCAGCTCACACCTGTAATCCCAGCAATTTGAGAGGCTCAGGTGGGAGGATTGTTTGAGCCCAGGAATTCAAGACCAGCCTGGGCAACACAGTGAGACCCCATCTCTACAAAAAAAAATAAAAAATTAGCCCGGTGTGGTGGCGCATGCCTGTAGTGCTAGTGCAAAAACCTATGTTTTTATTTTTTTGACTGATATACAGTAAAATCTATCCATTTTAACTATATAGTTTGATGGATTTTGGTAATTGTATACATCGGTATAATCGCCTGTATAGAGAGCAGCTCCGTCACCTTAGAAGTTCCCCCAGGCCCCTCTGCAGCTGAGCCCCTCCTCTGGTGCCCCAGCCCCAGGGGCAACCACTAGCCTTTCTGTCAACATCGCTTCACCTTTTTTAGAATTTCATATATCTGGAACCACACAGCATCTTTTGTCTTTTGTGTTTGACTTCTTGAAGTTAACATACTGATTCTGAGATTCATTCATGTTGGGGGCTATTAGTATTTTCTTCGTTGATATTCCCCAGTAGTATTCTATTGTATGAATGTACCACAATTTGCTTTTCCATTCACAGTTCATGGACATTAGGGCTGCTTCTAATTTTTTGACTAAGCTGCTCTGAACAATCACGGACAGTTCTTTGTGTACACGTGTGTTCTAGACTATAAGCATTTTACACAGGTTCTCTCTGGTTTATCTCATGGTGTGCAGCAGACGTTTAAAAGTTATTTGTTCTACTAATACATGCTACAATATGGATGATCTTTGAAAACACTGCGCTAAATGAAAGAAGCCACCCATTAAAAAACACATATAGTACAATCCCGCTTACAAAAAACATCCAGAATAGGCAAATCTATACAGACAGAAAGTAGATCAGTGTTTGCCCAGGCCTGGTGGATTTGGGGGGAAATGAAGAATGACTGCTAATGAATGCGGAGTTTCTTTTCAGGGTGAGACAATGTTCTAAAATTCATTGTGTGATCATGTTTTCACAACTCTGTGAATACACAAAAAACCATGGAATTGGGCCGGGCACGGTGGCTCATGCCTGTAATCCCAGCACTTTGGGAGGCTGAGGCGGGCAGATCACGAAGTCAAGAGATCAAGACCATCCTGGCCAAAATGGTGACACCCCGTTTCTACTAAAAATACACAAAAAATTAGCTGGGCATGGTGGTGCATGCCTGTAGTCCCAGCTACTTGGGAGGCTGAGGCAGGAGAATCACTTGAACCCGGGAGGTGGAGGTTGCAGTGAGCCGAGATCCCGCCACTGCACTCCAGCCTGGGGACAGAGCGAGACTCGGTCTCAAAAAGAAAAAAAACCACTAAATTGTACATTTTCAATGGGTGAATTGTATGATGTGTGAATTATATTTCAATAAAGCTGTAACAATTATTCATTAAATCAATTAATGATTAAATCATTAGATGATTCCATGTATGAATGAATATTCTTGTTTCCTGGCTGTTTAATCACTCTGATACCCTTTGGTACATATTTTTAATTCAATTTAATCCAACACATTTATTGGACATCTATTAAGTTTCAGATATAGTAATTGGGACTGGAGGTTTTCAAAGACATAGGAGACAAGCAGTTGATCTTCTCAAAGACACACACTTGAGAGAAGGAAACAGATAATAATTGCAGCTGCAATAGCTAACACTTATACTTCACTTACAATTGTGCCAGGCACAAAGAATGATCTCCAGTCTAATTATAAATATGCATGCCTATATATTTGTATATACATTTTGTTCATGTAATCTTCACAGCAACCCTTGAGGGAGGTACTGGCATATTTTCATTCTTTAGGTGGGAACACTGATGCACAGAGTGGGTCAGTAACTTGCCTGAGGTCACACAGCTAGTAAATGGCATGCTGAGACTTGAAGCCCAGGAAGCCTGGCTCTGGGGTCCACGGCTTTGACCACTATGCTCAATTGCCCATTCAGGGCGATACTGCTCCAATGTCATGGAGTTCTGGAATGGCAGGAGCATAAGAACTGAGGGTACTCTCATGTCTCCCCTTGCACAACTTGAGTTCTGTCATCATACCTTCCCCTTGCCAGCCTCTGTCCATGATCACAACCTGGAGACCCCAGGAAAAGATGCCCCAGCTCTGGCTCCAGAATCAAGTTCTGCGTCGTGACCTCTCTGCTTCTCTTTCTCTCCTGCAGCAAAGTAGAAACACCACAGTGTGTTGTGGATTAAAGTGTGTCCCTCCCCAACTCATCTGTTAAAACCCTAACCCCCAATGTGACTGCATTTGTAGATAGGGCCTTTAAAGAGATAATTAAAGGTAAATGAGGTCATGAGAGTGGGACCCTAATCTAATAGGACTGTGCCCTTATGAGAATAAGGACAGACACCAGGGAAGCACCTGCACTGGGAAAAGGCCACAAGAGGACACAGCAAGAAAGTGGCCATAGGCAAGCCGAAAGGAGAAGAGAAAAACAAACCTGCTCACACTTGATCTTGGCCTTCCAGTCTCCAGAACTGTGAGACATAAATTCTGTTGTTTAAGCCACCTAGTGTGTGATATTTTATTATTACAATCTAGGAAGCTAACACACTGCTAGACATCTGCTCCTTTTAGGGACGAAGCTGACCTGGCCCTGGCTGGGAGAGACAGTGACTCAGAGAGGAAAGGTCTGAAATGTGGGCCCTTCTTGAAAATCTTGCCTGGAGGTGGGCACTGGGTTGGGCCTCTGGAAGAATCTCATCAAACCAGGGGTGTGCATCAGCCAGCTCACATGCTCCCAAGAGCTGATTTGAAAATTTCCAGGAATTTTGCAAGCTGCTTATTAAACACAGCCATTATTAAAAATAACAGAAACCTTCACTAAACAAAGTATGTTAAAAATAAAGGTAATATAGACCAGTTTACTAAAGTGAAAAAAGAAAAAAAAAATAAAAAATAAAGGTAATAATACTACGAACCATCCCTTCCTAAGTATTTTGCTATATTTTACTATTATGTGTGATTGAGATTATTTATATCTACTGTTATCTGTAGTGGATACACCACATAATGGTGTGCTATTATGCATCTCTTCCCACATCCACATTCAGTGACACCACACATCAAGGTAGGAGCATTTACACCACAGACAGTGGCAAACACTGTGAATCAGAGGTTAAGCTACCATCGTCAACTGTCTAGACTTAGGAAAGTGATAAAGAAAATGTTGATACCAAGTGTCTTGTGTATGCAGCTGTTACATTATGAATAGCACAAAGAATTAGAAAATACTCTTCCAATACTGAAGAACTATTAACCAATTAAGCAAAGAAGTCTCTATGCCATTGATAAATGCATATTTCTTTGTTGTTTCACTGTCATCTTACTCTTTTTTTTTTTTTTTTTTTTGAGACGAAGCTTCGTTCTTATTCCCCAGGCTGGAGTGCAATGGCATGTGATCTCGGCTCACTGCAACCTGCACTTCCCAGGTTCAAGTGAGTCTTCTGCCTCAGCCTCCTGAGTAGCTGGGATTACAGGCTCCCACCACCACACTCAGCTAAATTTTTGTATTTTTAGTAGAGATGGGGTTTCTTTTATTATTATTATTATACTTTAAGTTCTAGGGTACATGTACACAATGTGCAGGTTTGTTACATATGTATACATGTGCCATGTTGGTGTGCTGCACCCATTAACTTGCCATTTATATTAGGTATATCTCCTAATGCTTTCCCTCCCCCCTTCCCCCACCCCACAACAGGCCCCGGTGTATGATGTTCCCCTTCCTGCGTCCAAGTGTTCTCCTTGTTCAATTCCCACCTATGAGTGAGAACATGCAGTGTTTGGTTTTTTGTCCTTGCGATAGTTTGCTCAGAATGATGGTTTCCAGCTTCAACCATATCCCTACAAAGGACATGAACTCATCCTTTTTTATGGCTGCATACTATTCCATGGTGTATATGTGCCACATTTTCTTAATCCAGTCTATCATTGATGGACATTTGGGTTGGTTCCAAGTCTTTGCTATTGTGAATAGTGCCGCAATAAACATATGTATTCATGTGTCTTTATAGCAGCATGATTTGTAATCCTTTGGGTATATACCCAGTAATGGGATGGCTGGGTCAAATGGTATTTCTAGTTCTAGATCCTTGAGGAATCACCACAGTGTCTTCCACAATGGTTGAACTAGTTTACAGTCCCACCAACAGTGTAAAAGTGTTCCTACTTCTCCACATCCTCTCCAGCACCTGTTGTTTCCTGACTTTTTAATGATTGCCATTCTAACTGGTGTGAGATGATATCTCATTGTGGTTTTAATTGGCATTTCTCTGATGGCCAGTGATGATGAGCATTTTTTCATGTGTCTGTTGGCTGCATAAATGTCTTCTTTTGAGAAGTGTCTGTTCATACCCTTCGCCCACTTATTGATGGGTTGTTTGTGTTTTTCTTGTAAATTTGTTTGAGTTCTTTGTAGATTCTGGATATTAGCCCTTTGTCAGATGAGCAGATTGCAAAAATTTTCTCCCATTTTGTAGGTTGCCTGTTCACTCTGATGGTAGTTTCTTTGCTGTGCAGAAGCTCCTTAGTAAATTAGATCCCATTTGTCAATTTTGGCTTTTGTTGCCATTGCTTTTGGTGTTTTAGACATGAAGTCCTTGCCCATGCCTATGTCCTGAATGGTATCGCCTAGGTTTTCTTCTAAGGTTTTTATGGTTTTAGGTCTAACATTTAAGTCTTTGATCCATCTTGAATTAATTTTTGTATAAGGTGTAAGGAAGGGATCCAGTTTCAGCTTTCTACATATGGCTAGCCAGTTTTCCCAGCACCATTTATTAAATAGGGAATCCTTTCCCCATTGCTTGTTTTTGTCAGGTTTGTCAAAGATCAGATGGTTGTAGATGTGTGGTATTATTTCTGAGGGCTCTGTTCTGTTTCATTGGTCTATATCTCTGTTTTGGTACCAGTACCATGCTGTTTTGGTTACTGTAGTCTTGTAGTATAGTTTGAAGTCAGGTAGCGTGATGCCTCCAGCTTTGTTCTTTTGGCTTAGGATTGTCTTGGAAATGTGGGCTCTTTTTTGGTTCCATATGAACTTTAAAGTAGTTTTTTCCAATTCTGTGAAGAAAGTCATTGGTAGCTTGATGGGGATGGCATTGAATCTATAAATTACCTTGGGTAGTATGGCCATTTTCATGATATTGATTCTTCCTACCCATGAGCATGGAATGTTCTTCCATTTGTTTGTATCCTCTTTTATTTCCTTGAGCAGTGGTTTGTAGTTCTCCTTGAAGAGGTCCTTCACATCCCTTGGAAGTTGGATTCCTAGGTATTTTCTTCTCTTTGAAGCAATTGTGAATGGGAGTTCACTCATGATTTGGCTTTCTGTCTGTTATTGGTGTATAAGAATGCTTGTGATTTTTGCACATTGATTTTGTATCCTGAGACTTTGCTAAAGTTGCTTATCAGCTTACGGAGATTTTGGGCTGAGACGATGGGGTTTTCTAAATATATAATCACGTCATCTGCAAACAGGGACAATTTGACTTCCTCTTTTCCTAACTGAATACTCTTTATTTCTTTCTCCTGCCTGATTGTCCTGGCCAGAACTTCCAACACTATGTTGAATAGGAGTGGTGAGAGAGGGCATCCCTGTCTTGTGCCAGTTTTCAAAGGGAATGCTCCCAGTTTTTGCCCATTCAGTATGATATTGGCTGTGGGTTTGTCATAAATAGTTCTTATTATTTTGAGATATGTCCCATCAATACCTAATTTATTGAGAGTTTTTAGCATGAAGGGCTGTTGAATTTTGTCAAAGGTCTTTTCTGCATCTATTGAGATAATCATGCAGTTTTTGTCTTTGGTTCTGTTTATATGCTGGATTACGTTTATTGATTTGCGTATGTTGAACCAGCCTTGCATCCCAGGGATGAAGCCCACGTCATCATGGTGGATAAGCTTTTAGAGGTACTTCTGGATTCAGTTTGCCAGTATTTTATTGAGGATTTTTGCATCGATCTTCATCAGGGATATTGGTCTAAAATTCTCTTTTTTTGTTGTGTCTCTGCCAGCCTTTGGTATCAGGATGATACTGGCCTCATAAAATGAGTTAGGGAGGATTCCCTCTTTTTCTATTGATTGGAATAGTTTCAGAAGGAACGGTACCAGCTCCTTCTTGTACCTCTGGTAGAATTTGGCTGTGAATCCGTCTGGTCCTGGACTTTTTTTGGTTGGTAGGCTATTAATTATTGCCTCAAATTCAGAGCCTGTTATTGGTCTATTCAGGGATTCAACTTCTTCCTGGTTTAGTCTCGGGAGGGTGTATGTGACCAGGAATTTATCCATTTCTTCTAGATTTTCTAATTTATTTGTGTAGAGGTGTTTATAGTATTCTCTGATGGTAGTTTGTATTTCTGTGGGATCAGTGGTGATATCCCCTTTATCATTTTTTATTGCATCTATTTGATTCTTCTCTCTTTTCTTCTTTATTAGTCTTGCTAGTGGTCTATCAATTTTGTTGATCTTTTCAAAAAACCAGATCCTGGATTCATTGATTTTCTGAAGGGTTTTTTTGTGTCTCTATCTCCTTCAGTTCTTCTCTGATCTTAGTTCTTTCTTGCCTTCTGCTAGCTTTTGAATGTGTTTGCTCTTGCTTCTCTAGTTCTTTTAATTGTGATGTTAGGGTGTCAATTTTAGATCTTTCCTGCTTTCTCTTGTGGGCATTTAGTGCTATAAATTTCCCTCTACACACTGCTTTGAATGTGTCCCAGCGATTCTGGTATGTTGTCTTTGTTCTCATTGGTTTCAAAGAACATCTTTATTTCTGCCTTCATTTCGTTATGTACCCAGTAGTCACTCAGGAGCAGGTTGTTCAGTTTCCATGTAGTTGAGCGGTTTTGAGTGAGTTTCTTAATCATGAGTTCTAGTTTGATTGCACTGTGGTCTGAGAGACAGTTGATTATAATTTCTGTTCTTTTACATTTGCTGAGGAGTGCTTTACTTCTAACTATGTGGTCAATTTTGGAATAAGTGCGATGTGGTGCTGAGAAGAATGTATATTCTGTTGATTTGGGGTGGAGAGTTCTGTAGATGTCTATTAGGTCTGCTTGGTGCAGAGCTGAGTTCAATTCCTGGATATCCTTGTTAACTTTCTGTCTCATTGATCTGTCTAATGTTGACAGTGGGGTGTTAAATTCTCCCATTATTATTGTGTGTGAGTCTAAGTCTCTTTATAGGTCTCTAAGGACTTGCTTTATGAATGTGGGTGTCCCTGTATTGGGTGCATATATATTTAAGATAGTTAGCTCTTCTTGTTGAATTGATCCCTTTACCATTATGTAATGGCCTTCTTTGTCTCTTTTGATCTTTGTTGGTTTAAAGCCTGTTTTATCAGAGACTAGGATTGCAACCCCTGCCTTTTTTTGTTTTCCATTTGCTTGGTAGATCTTCCTCCATCCCTTTATTTTGAGCCTATGTGTGTCTCTGCATGTGAGATGGGTCTCCTGAATACAGCAATCTGATGGGTCTTGACTCTTTATCCAATTTGCCAGTCAGTGTCTTTTAATTGGAGGATTTAGCCCATTTACATTTAAGGTTAATATTGTTATATGTGAATTTGATCCTCTCATTATGATGTTAGCTGGTTATTTTGCTCGTTAGTTGATGCAGTTTCTTCCTAGCATCGATGGTCTTTACAATTTGGCATGTTTTTGCAGTGGCTGGTACCGGTTGTTCCTTTCCATGTTTAGTGCTTCCTTCAGGAGCTCTTGTAGGGCAGGCCTGGCGGTGACAAAATCTCTCAGCATTTGCTTGTCTGTAAAGGATTTTATTTCTCCTTCACTTATGAAGCTTAGTTTGGCTGGATATGAAATTCTGGGTTGAAAATTCTTTTCTTTATGAATATTGAATATTGGCCCAACTCTCTTCTGGCTTGTAGAGTTTCTGCCAAGAGATCCACTGTTAGTCTGATGGGTTTCCCTTTCTGGGTAACCTGACCTTTCCCTCTGGCTGCCCTTAACATTTTTTCCCTCATTTCAACTTTGGTGAATCTGACGATTATGTGTCTTGGAGGTGCTCTTCTCAAGGAGTATCTTTGGGGTGTTCTCTCTATTTCCTTAATTTGAATGTTGGCCTGCCTTGCTAGGTTGGGGAAGTTCTCCTGCATAATATCCTGAAGAGTGTTTTCCAACTTGGTTCCATTCTCCCCATCACTTTCAGGTACACCAATCAGACGTAGAGTTGTCTTTTCACATAGTCCCATATTTCTTGGAGGCTTTGTTCATTTCTTTTTATTCTTTTTTCTCTACACTTCTGTTCTCACTTCATTTCATTCATTTGATCTTCAATCACTGATACCCTTTCTTCCAGTTGATCAAATTGGCTACTGAAGCTTGTGCATTCGTCACGTAGTTCTCGTGCCATGGTTTTCAGCTCAATCAGGTCATTTAAGGACTTCTCCACACTGGTTATTCTAGTTAGCCATTCATCTAATCTTTTTCCAAGGTTTTTAACTTCTTTGCGTTGGGTTGGAGCTTCCTCCTTTAGCTCAGAGAAGTTCGAGTGTCTGAAGACTTCTTCTCTCAACTCGTCAAAGTCATTGTCCATCCAGTTTTGTTGCGTTGCTGGTGAGGAGCTGTGTTCCTTTGGAGGGGGAGACGTGCTCTGATTTTTAGAATTTTCAGCTTTTCTGCTCTGTTTTTTCCCCATCTTTGTGGTTTTATCTACTTTTGGACTTTGATGATGGTGACCGACAGATGGGGTTTTGGTGTGGATGTCCTTTCTGTTTGTTAGTTTTCCTTCTAACAGTCAGGACCCTCAGCTGCAGGTCTGTTGGAGTTTGCTAGAGGTCCACTCCAGACCCTGTTTGCCTGGGTATCAGCAGCGGAGCCTGCAGAACAGCACATATTGCTGTACAGCAAATGTTGCTGCCTGATCATTCCTCTGGAAGCTTCATCTCAGAGGGGTACCCAGCCATGTGAGGCGTCAGTCTGCCCCTACTGCGGTGTGCCTCCCAGTTAGGCTACTTGCAGGCTACTCAGAGGTCAGGGACCCACTTGAGGAAGCAGTCTGTCCGTTCTCAGATCTCAAACTCCATGCTGGGAGAACCACTACTCTCTTCAAGTCCCTGTCAGACAGGGACATTTAAGTCTGCAGAGGTTTCTGCTGTCTTTTGTTCGGCTATGCCCTGCCCCCAGAGGTGGAGTCTACAGAGGCAGGCAGGCCTCCTTGAGCTGCGGTGGGCTCCACCCAGTTCGAGCTTCCTGGCCACTTTGTTTACCTACTCAAGCCTCAGCAATAGTGGGCGCCCCTCCCCAAGCCTCACTGCCGCCTTGCAGTTCGAACTCAGACTGCTGTGCTAGCAATGAGCAAGGCTCCATGGGCGTGGGACCCTCCAAGCCAGGCGCGGGATATAATCTCCTGGTGTGCCATTTGCTGAGACCATTGGAAAAGTGCAGTATTAGGGTGAGAGTGACCCGATTTTCCAGGTGCCGTCTGTAACCCCTTCCCTTGGCTAGGAAAGGGAATTCCCTGACCCCTTGCACTTCCTGGGTGAGGCGATGCCTCACCCTGCTTTGGCTCACACTCAGTGGGCTGCACCCACTGTCCTGCCCCCACTGTCCAATGAGACCCAGTGAGATGAACCCAGTACCTCAGTTGGAAATGCAGAAATCACCCGTCTTCTGCGTTGCTCATGCTGGGAGCTATAGACTGGAGCTGTTCCTATTCGGCCATCTTGGAACCGCAGAGATGGGGTTTCACCACGTTGCCCAGGCTGGTCTCAAACTCCTGACCTCAGGTGATCTGCCTGCCTTGGCCTCCCAAAGTACTGGGATTACAGGTATGAGCCACTGCGCCTGGCCTCTTACTCTTTAACATAAGCAAAAATATCAACCAACATTCGTATCCAAACTGCACTCACTCATGATTTGCAACTATTGGTTGGCTACTGATATGGGAGTTGAGCAAAGTCTATAAAAGTATTTTGTGAAAATCAACTGGCTGTGTGGAATTTATAAGAAAGACTTTTGCACATTTTATTATTCTCAAATTGTTTACTCAGTAAAATTTCTTAAAAATATATGCAAGAGCATATGTAGCTTTTCTGAAGCAGCATTTATTAAACATTTACTGGCACACCATTGCATTAAACTCTCCCCATTTGAGGAGATTGGGCCCCAGAGGGTAGACATGCCCGCCCAAGACATGGGCGGATCCATGACCCCCACCCTGCTCCTCCCACCCCATCAAGGCTACTTCTGCCATCTAATACCAGCCCTTCCAGGGGGGATTGTAAAAGGATGGCCCAGTGAGACAGGAAAATTCTCTGGGGTTCAACCATTTACAATTATTCCTGAAACCGTCTGGGTGCCATACAAATAGCTAAGCCATAAATCATAAGAGGTGCATAAAATCATATGAAGTTAAACATACAGCTAAACAAAATCCAGCAATTTCATTTCTAGGTATTTACCCAAGAGAAATAAAAACATATGTGCCCACAAAACTTACATATGAATGCTCATAGCAGATTTATTCCCAATATCCCCAAACTGGAAACAACCCAAATGTCCATCAAAAGGCACTGGATAAACAAACTGTGATATATTCCACATAATAGAATACTACTCAGCAATAAAAATGAATGGACCATTGATCCACAGAAAAATATGGATGAATTTCAAATAATTATGCTGAGTAAAAGAGCCAAACATAAATGAGTGCATGCTGTGTGATTCCACTTTATATAACATTCTAGAAAAGCCAAACATTGAAGGACAGAAACCAGGTTAGTATTTGCTGGGTACTGGAAGGGACAGACTGCTAAGTGGCAGAGGGGAGGGAATTGTTGGAGGATGGAAAGGCTACATATCTTGAGTTTGGTGAGGATTCCACAGGTGTACCCACTTGCCAAAACTGTGCTTGAACATGAGTGCATTTTATTATATGAAAGCTATACCTCACCAAAGCTGATTTTAAAAGTACTAGGTATGTAACCTTGGTCAAGTTATTCTGCTTTCCTGGGCCTCAGTTTCCTCATCTGTAAAATGTAATAATAGTTGCTATACTGTGAAGATTAAAGAAGAGACTATGGGTAAACCCTTAGAACAATGCCTCACACACAGGTGTGTACAATTAATACAGCAGTGCCCCCTTATCCAGGAGAATATGTTCCAAGACCCTCAGTGCATGCCTGAAACTTCAGATAGTTCTTTTTTCTTTTCTTTTCTTTTCTTTTCTTTTCTTTTCTTTTTTTTTTTTTTTTTTGAGACGGAGTCTCACTCTGTCACCCAGGCTGGAGTGCAGTGGCACAATCTTGGCTCACTGCAACCTCCGCCTCCCAGGTTCAAGTGATTCTCCTGCCTCAGCCTCGTAGATAGGATTACAGCTGTGTGCCATCACACCCAGCTAACTTTTGTATTTTTAGTAGAGATGGCGTTTTACCATGTTGCCTAAGCTGGTCTCAAACTCCTGACCTCAGGTATCCACCTGCCTCAGCCTCCCAAAGTACTGGGTTTACAGGTGTGCGTCACTGTGCCCATCCAACTTCAGTTAGTTCTTTTTTTTTTTTTTTTTTTTTTGTATTTTTAGTAGAGACAGGGTTTCACCGTGTTAACAAGGATGGTCTCGATCTCCTGACCTCTTGATCCATCTGCCTCGGCCTCCCAAAGTGCTGGGATTAAAGACTTGAGCCACTGCGCCCGGCCTAACTTCAGTTAGTTCTAAACCCTGCATATACACTATGTTCTTTCCCTTATATATATATATACCTATGATTAAGTTTATAAATTAGGCACAGTAAGAGATTAGCAACAATAATAATAAATAAATAATAAAATAAATAATAATAAAATCAAACGATTATAGCAATATGCTATAATAAAAGTTATGTGAATGTGGTCTTTCTATCTCAAATATCTTATTTTACTGTAGTCACCTGTTTTCAGACTGCAGTCGATTGAAAGTAACTAAAATCTCCGAAAGCAAAACCATGGATAAAAGGAAACTATTGTACTAGTTTACGTTGCTTGTTGGTTTTTGTTAAACTATAACTAATCCAGTAACAGGTATTCATTCATGCAATAAATCAACAAATATTTATTAAGCACCTACTACATTCTAGGCATTGTTCTAAACACTTGAAATGCAAAAGTGGGCTAAGTGCAGTGGCTCACGCCTATAATCCCAGCACTTTGCGAGGCCTTGGATCAGGAGTTCAAGATCAGCCTGGGCAACATAGCAAAATCCTGTCTCTACAAAAAATACAACAAAGCCAGGCATGGTGACACGTGCCTGTTGTCTCAGCTTCTTGGGAGGCTGAGATGGGAGGATTACCTGGGCCTGGGAAGGTGAGGCTGCAGTGAGCTGTGATTGTACCTCTGCACTCCAACCTGGGTGACAGACTGAGACCCAGTCTCAAAAATAGAAAGGAAGGAAGGAAGGAAGGAAGGAAGGAAGGAAGGAAGGAAGGAAGGAAGGAAGGAAGGAAGGGTAAGGGTAGGGAAGGGAAGGGAAAGAAAGGAAAGGAAAGGAAAGGAAAAGAGAGAGAGAGAGAAGAAAAGGAAGAAGCAAAGAGAAAGAGAGGAAGGAAGCAAGGAAGGAAGGCAGGAAGGCAGGAAGGAAGGAAGGAAAGAAGGAAGGAAGGGGAGGGGAGGGAGGAAGGAAGGAGGGAGGGAGGGAGCAAGGAAGGAAGAAAGGAAAGAAGGAAAGACACTAGTGAACAAAATAGATGAAGATTCTTGCTTAGTGTCTCCATGCTGTTAAAGGAAGACAAACAATAAATAATAAGAAAATAAATAAGTAGATTATGTAGCATATTAGAAGATACATGATATGGGGGAAAAGCAATAGAATAGGGTAACAGAAAAGAGGGTTGAGGGCTCATGTAGGCTGCAATTTTAAGGAAGGTGGCCATGGGAGGCTTTACTGAATAGATGATATTTGAGCAAAACCTTTTTTTTTTTTTTTTTTTTTTTTTGAGATGGAGTCTCACTCTGTCACCCAGGCTGAAATGCCTTGGTACTATCTCAGCTCACTGCAACCTCCCTCCTGGGTTCAAGCGATTCTCCTGCCTCAGCCTCCCAAGTAGCTGGGACTACAGATGCCCACCACCACGCCCAGCTAATTTTTGTATTTTTAGTAGAGACGGGGTTTCACCATGTTGGCCAGGCTGGTCTCGAACTTCCAATCTGAAGTGACTCACCCTCCTCCGACTCCCAAAGTGCTGGGATTACAGGCGTAAGCCACCACGCTCAGCCTTGAGCAAAAACTTGAAGGAGGTATTCAACAGAATTATGAAAGAAGGAAGAGAGGCCGGCAGGGAGGGAAGAAATGAGGATCATAATTTCCCAATTATCTGTCAATTGCCTAAAGCTGAGCATTAATTCTCTGGGGGCATGTTGGGGGGTGGTCATGCTCTTTCTGCTATATCAGTTTGAATGATATCATTGGAGCATAAACACTGAGAAAATGACAACTGAGGTGAAGAATGTCTGCAAATTACAGAAAGGCATATTGACACACTGAATCTGAAACACCTGGATTCAGAAGTCACCTCAGCCACCTACTAGCTGAGTGACCTCTGGCAAGTCACTCGACCTCTGAGGGGCTCAGTTTCCTACCTGCAGGAAGGCAACAACGGTCCCCTTGCCAATACCTTAGGGATTAGAGGAGATAGCAGAGAGGTCGGGCTCTAGCATAATTCCCGGTGCACGAAGTGCTGCCTTTCTACTTGGGACTCCATTTAGATCCTGTGGCTGCCCAGGGTGCTGTCACCTTCATTCTGACCACCAAAAGCTCGGGAACAATTACTGGCCTCCTCGCTGCAGTCCCAATGCTGTTTCTCTGGCTCTTCAATTAGCACGTGCAATTTCAACACTTCTCCAAATAGGTGATTTTAAATCCATATTCAATAATTTATAGAAATGGATGCTTCCCCCCTCCCCCTTTTTAAGCACTTTAAAGAGATGGCCCATCTCCTGACACTTGACAGAGCTGATGAGCAATCTATCCCACAGCAGAGTGGTTCTACTTTTGTCAGAGCTGGGCCTCCTGGGGAGACCCAGGAGAAAAGAAAGCTTTCTAAAACATTTTAATTGTAAGTGGAGTTCATTAGTTTAGATCCCATTACAATAAATTATCATCTGATGCTTTAAGTCTTAACAAAATGGACACTGCAATGATTAGAGGCCCCTATGTTTGCAGAAAGACCCTATAATAAACCCACACTTGGTGATAACAACAGAAGATTGGTCCTCAACCAAACCAGTTATTTTTCCCTAGAGGTAAAGCCTCCACTTGAAGGTAAAAATAGAAGCCTGCATTTCTTAATTTTCACAGAAGAACCTTAACATTGGCGTCCACTGGCAAATTTAATCGTGGCAGCTGCCTGCTTAAAACCCTCCAGCTTTCATCACACTTTGGAGAGAGTTCCGTCAAAGAATAATGTTGAGAAGATAAAAACCTGGCTTTGAAACTAATATAGAACAAGCATGTGTCAAATATTTAACTGATTAATATATAGAACAAGCATGTGTCAAATATTTAACTGATTAATAAGAGAGCCAGCAGCACGGTAGAGCTGCTTCAAAAAGCATTTGATGACAGGGGTTTCTACAGTCCCCCAGAGAGGGGGTACTGATGTAAAGTTTAATTTATTTGTTCATTTTTTAAGTTAGGAACAAAAATGACTAATGTCCTTCAGGGTGATAAAGCCAAAACCTTTAGGGTTGCCTCCTCTATCACACATAAACCATTTGCATCTCAACAGGACAGCTATTCACAAATTTACATGTAACTTAATAGAGATCAAGTTCAATCAGTAAATAGCAAAATCAAACCAAGGTACAATTCCCATATAGAATTAACTAATCCTTGGGCAGGCCTGGCAAATAATGCTCTAAGCCGACGTGGAAAGAAACTGCAGTCTTCCTTTCTGCCATATTTCTAAGTTTTGGATAAGTTTGCTTGAGTTCTAAATCTTCAACATGGCTAACAAAATCTGCCTGGCTCCTTCCTCGGTCCCCAGCCCCATCTGGTAACTCTGCCCTCCGGTGACAAGTGACAAGTGACAAGTTCCTTCCCAATTCACAGCAGTCACAGCAGCCTGCTTTGTCTGGAATCACAACCCTCCCTTATTCTCCTTAAGATCTCGGCTTAAGTCATTTCCTCGGGGAATTTTCCTAAACATAGACTTGATCAGATTCCCTTGTAAGCACTCTAAGGTGGCTTTCGGCAGGCTCCCCTCCTGGCACATCTTACAACTTGGATGAACCACTTCACTGTGTAATTAGTTGTGAAAGTCTGGCTCCCTAACTGGAATGTAAACTCCCTGAGAGAATGGAGGGCCTGTTTTACTCATCATTGGATACCTGGGGCCCAACAGGAAGGAAGGAAGGAGGAAGGAAGGAAGGAAGGAAGGAAGGAAGGAAGGAAGGAAGGAGAGAGAGAAGGGAGAAAGGAGAAGGGAGGGAAGGAGGGAGGGAGGAAGAAAGAGAGAGGAAGGGAGGAAGGGAGGAAGGGAGGGAGGGTGCTGTCACCCATGCCACCTGTAATCCCAGCACTTTGGGAGGCCAAAACGGGAGGATTGCTTGAGCTCCGGAGTTCAAGACTGGCTTGGTCAACATAGGGAGAGGCCTCATCTCTACTAAAGATTTTTTTAAAAATTTGGCCGGGCGTGGTGGCTCACACCTGTAATCTCAGTACTTTGGGAGGCCGAGGTGGGCGGATCACGAGGTCAAGAGATCGAGACCATCCTGGCCAACATGGTGAAACCCCGTCTCTACTAAAAAATACAAAAAATTAGCCAAGCATGGTGGCATGTGCCTGTATTCCCAGCTACTCAGGAGGCTGAGGCAGGGGAATCTCTTGAACCCGGGAGGCAGAGGTTGCAGTGAGCTGGGATCGCACCACTGCACTCTAGCCTGGCAACAGAGGGAGACTCTGTCTCAAAAAATATATATATATATATTAGCCAGGCATGGTGGCACATGCCTGTTGCCCCAGCTACTCATGAGGTTAAGGTGGGAGGATCGCTTAAGCCTGGGAGGTCCAGGCTGCAGTGGGCTGTGATCATGCACTGCACCCCAGAGTGAGATCCTGTCTGGAAAAAAAAAATAGAAAAAGAAAAAGAAGGAAAGGAGTAAGAGGTGTGGCATTCTTGGCTCTACAGGACACAGAATTTCTGCACTTGGGGCTCTCACTGTGCCCAGTTCTGGCCAAGAGCCTGGCAGAGCCATCTGTGTTCCAGGAAGCTCATATGAACACAGGCTACCCAGTCCTTGCAACGCCAGAGGGGTGGGGCCTGCACGCCCATGGCCGAGGGCTACATTCACCCTCACCACGTTTTGTTTGGCTCTTGGAATTTAAATTCATTGTCAACAGTCATGTTTTAATAGTCCAGACTTTCCAGTTCCTGGTAGAATATCATTAGGCCCAAGAGGCACCACTTGGCTACCACCAAGGAGCAGCTATTTCTCAAGTTCCCCCTGCTGACAGAGATGGATTGTCAGCTGCCCTTTATCCTGATGTTTTCCTCACACCCAACCCACTCCACACCCCTCTCCCCAGTCCTGTAGGTAAACCCTGAGTTTTTTACCACGGCACTGAGGTCTCCAAGAGCCAATGAGGTCATCGAAAGAAAACATAATGAGCATGACTTTGGTTCCCCCTCAAACACACCCTGCCTACCCTTGCACTGAAATTTAATAATGTCCCCTCTACTTTCAGAATTCACCAGGAGGGACTCCCCACACATTGTGAAAAACTTAATCATCTCAGAAATCTAAATTCAACTGTTGCTGAATGAGTCATTTATTGTATTTCTTAGTCCCCTTCCACATAGAAACCTAAAGAATGTCCTCTCAGCTTTCATGGAAGAAAATGCTTCTCTCTCCTCGTGATCTGCTGTGCCTTATTTTATTAGCCAATCAGAACTCAGATGCTTATTCGTTGTTTTCTTTCTTTCCTTTTTTTTCTTTTTTTTAAAGCTTTGGCTACCACAAAGCTCAGAGCTAAATTCTGAGCTTGCTTCTAGGTACATTCATTCTTTAGTTTCTGGTTTTCTGGCAACTTAGATCCTTTGTTTACTCTTCCCTCATTCCCCTCTTTGAGAATTATTTCTCCCTGCCCAGAGCCCCATCCTTACTTTTTTTTTTTTTTTTTTTTTGAGACAACATCTCACTCCGTCACACAGGCTGGAGTGCAGTGGCATGATCTCGGCTCTCTGCAAGCTTCGCCTCCTGGGTTCAAGTGATTCTCCTGCCTCAGCCTCCCGAGTAGCTGGGACTACAGGCGCCTGCCACCACACTCGGCTAATTTTTATATTTTTATTAGAGAAGGGGTTTCACCACGTTGGCCAGGCTGGTCTCGAACTCCTGATCTCACGTGATCCGCCCACCTCGGACTCCCAAAGTGCTGGCATTGAAGGCCTGAGCCACCGTGCCCAGCCCCCATCCTTACTTAAGAACAACTAGGAGGTGGAGTGTGACTCAATTCCACCCTGGCCATAGCTGATTGGTCCAGGAGTGGACTCCTGGCTCAAGCCAGTTCCTGAGTCCTTACCTGAGGCGTGTTGGCACTGAGAGATGAGTCACCCTTGAGATGCCAGACTACAGAAGTCAATTTCACAAATTTCAGGAGTAGTCGGCAGCTGTGTTCCACAACATGGACTGGGTCACAAACAGTATAAAGAAAACCGGCAATGGGGATGGAGAAATCGCCCTCCCAGTTTCAAGCCCAGCTCTGTTCCTCCCCCTGGCTTCCCTGAGACACTGTTGCTGTTCTTTAATATATCCCTCCTTTTGTTTAAGCTACCTTGAGTTGGGTTTCTAAACTTGTTTTTTTTTTTGAGACGGCGTCTCACTCTGTTGCCCAGGCTGGAGTGCAGTGGCGCGATCTCGGCTCACTGCAAGCTCCGCCTCCCGGGTTCACGCCATTCTCCTGCCTCAGCCTCCCGAGTAGCTGGGACTACAGGCGCTTACCACCATGCCCAGCTAATTTTTTTTGTATTTTTAGTAGAGACAGGGTTTCACCTTGTTAGCCAGGATGGTTTCGGTCTCCTGACCTCGTGATCCGCCCGCCTTGGCCTCCCAAAGTGCTGGGATTACAGGCGTGAGCCACCGCACCCAGCTGGGTTTCTAAACTTTTTAACTGGTAACGGAAACTATGTTGTTTGCTGTTTGAAGTCCTCAAAAAACCGGGTGCGGTGGCTCACGCCTGTAATCCCAGCATGGTGGGAGGCCAAGGTGGGCGGATTGCTTGACTTCAGGAGTTCAAGACCAGCCTGGGCAACATAGCAAAAAGCCATCTCTACAAAAAATACAAAAATTGGCAGAGCAAGATGGCATGCACCTGTGTTCTCAGTTACTCAGGAGGCTAAGGTGGAAGGATTAGTTGCACCCAGGGAGGTCGAGGCGGTAGTGAGCCGTGATGGTACCACTGCCCTCTAGCCTGGTGGCAGAGCAAGACCTCTGTCTCAAGTAAATACATAAATAAATCCTCAAAAATAAAAATTGAACACTGCACCACGCACACTCAGGCTTTATTCAGCCTCTCCAAACTGGCCTCTGCACTCTCTTCCCTCATTCTCCTCCAGCATGGCAGCCTCCTTGCTATCCTCCTGATTCTCTGAGCTCCCATGCAGCCCAGGGCCTTTGCACTTGCTGCTCGCTCTGTGGAAAGTTCTCATCCTGGGGCCTCACAGGGCTGCTTCTTTCTTGTCCCCTCATCTCCTCAGAGAGGCCTTTCCCAACCGCACATCCTGGAGTTGCCCCCACCCCACTCCTCCGTTTCACTTCGTCCTGCTCATTTTCTTCACCATCTTTATCACTCTGAAATTATCTTAATGACTTGCTTGTTTACCTATGCCAGGTGTACACGCACACACTCAAATCTAACCTCTATGAAGTCACAGCTGTAAGCCCAGCCACGAGCACAGTGCCTGGGACACCGGAGGTACTCAGTAGATGCTTGTTGAATGAATAAATGTTCTTTGCAGTACAGAGTCCAAGTAATACCTCAGGTGTCAACCTCACATGGTTCTTGAGTTCCTCAGTATTTGTTTTACTGCTCTTTGTCTGTCCTGGCTGTTAGACTCCCCAGAGCCTTTCTGGAATGGGCAGAAGAAAAAAATAAGAGAATTTACTTAACAAATACTATGTACTAGGTATGTTTCTAAGCACTTTACGCATATTATTTAACCCTCCCAACAATCGTGTGAGGGCTAATAACGTAATATGATAGCTGGGTGGGGTGATGCAGCTATAGTCCCAGCTACTCAGGAGGCCAAGGCAGGAGGATTGCTTGAGCCCCAGAGTTTGAGACCAGCCTGAGAAAAACATTAAGATCCAGTCTCTACCAAAAAGAAATGTAGTACTATTATCACCATATGTTACAGATAAAGAAACTGAGGCACCAGGAGTGAAGTCACTGTTCCAAGGCCACCAGCCTATAAAGGCATAGCAAAGACTCCCGCCCAGGGAGTCAGATTTTAAGCCTGGGCCTGTGACCTCTCAGCCAGGCCGCCTCCCAGGCAAGTGGGAAAAGCACGTCCTCACTTCTTGGGCAGGGCAGTAAGATATGTATCTCTCATGCTTACGTTAGGCCCTTTCTTTTTTTTTTGGAGACAGAGACCAGCTCTGTCGCCCAGGTTGAGATCAGCAATGGCGTGATCTTGGCTCACTGCAACCTCTGCCTCCCAGGCTCAAGCAATTCTCCTGCCTCAGCCTCTGGAGTAGCTGAGATTACAGGTGCATGCCACCACGTCAGCTAATTTTTGTATTTTTAGTAGCAACGGGGTTTTGCCATGTTGGCCAGGCTGGTCTCGAACTCCTGACCTCAGGTGATCTGCCCACCTCTGCCTCCCAAAGTGCTGGGATTACAGGTGTGAGCCACCACGCCGGGCCACATTTGGGCTTTTGGGCTGAATACAGGAAAGCGGTGCTCATTCCAGCACAAGCTCAGGGCGAAGCTCATCTGATGAGGACCATGACAGATTGCAGTGAGACACCTCGGGATGATTGAGGGCTTTCTCTAATCACACCAATTGATATCAATTACTGCGTCGGCCCCCTGAGAGCATCCCTGGGATTTCCACCTCATTAGATCATTGGTGCCAAATGAAGCAACAGGGTTCTGCGCCTCCTTCGGAGCTATTTGTGTTATAGGCAAAAATCGTAAAGGGTAACTGGAAAGGCACATCAGAAAGCCTCCAAGGAGCAGCAGCAGTCTAGTCAGAGGAACAGAGACTAAAACAGTCACAATTTAGTGCTGGAGGTTTCTGATTTCAGTCAACTCTTGACATCTCTGCCAAACTCCTGCTCCAGTTCTTACTGAAGTCTGCTATGTAGCCCCAGAACAAGCAAAACCATGGAACCAGGGGGTCCACGAAGGGCCATGGAGGCGGGGCTGTGAGTTCTGGGGCTTGGGGATTCAGCAATAGCAAGAATTCAGCTTTGTTGGGGACAATGCCAAGGGGGGTTTGAGGCTCCCCGTAGTTTCCACCCGTCACCCCCAATCAGTAAACCATACACAAACATGGCTTCAAAGCAGCCCCACCCCATGCGGCTGCCCCCTCCCAAGCCTCACCACCCAACCTCGTGCAGTTCCAAGGCAGCCACTCCTGCTCTTGCCAAACAACCCTCCGGAGGTCTACAGGATAAAAACAGGAAGGCAAGAAGCCAGGACACGTGGATTTCCTTATTGGCTTCTAAAGACAAAGGGGAGGAAGAGAAAGAGGCAGAAAGTGAAGAGAAGCCAAAGGAAATGGCCACACATCAGAGCTAGGAACAGATCCCAGACTTGATTATAAAGTCCTGAGGTTTCCTGGGATGGTGTTTGAGCAGAATGCGTTTTTGTTTTGTTTTCAGAAGCGTTTTGTTTTGTTTTCAATCGCAAGTCAGCCTTTGGGAGGGCAACGGTACAGGTGGATGCCTAAATTCATACCTCAGCTAATGAAACAGTGGAGAAGAGGCACAGACAATCTCTTGAGCCTGTTGAATCCAGAAGGACAGAAGTCTTGGTAACGGTGTCAGGCTCACCTTGTGGGTAGTGGGATGGGTGCTGTTGCCATTCTGACCAGATCACCTCCGCTCACACCTGCAACCAACACGGCTCATCAGCACACACATGCCACCCAAGCAGTTCATCAGGCACAACCCTGATCCTTCAGGAGGGCATTACTCTGGCCATGAGAGTGCACTCAGCCTGCGTGAAGAGCAAGCCGTGGAGTCCCTGGAAGCAGCCATCACCAAAGATGGGGCACTGGGATAATTTAGGGGCATGTTCCCTACTGTTCCCCAGGGCTCTCCAGTGGGACTGTGGTCTAGTTGTCCACGATGGCAACACACGGTGAATGCTTTGCTTCCCCTCCCTGTCTTACTTCCCTACTCTCTTACCAGTACTTCCTGGAGTCACCTCCCAAACAAAAGGATTTGCACTGCAATATCTGCCTCGGAGTCTGCTTCCAGGAAAACCCAAAGCAAGGCGGTGCTTTTGTGCAATTTATTAAGAGGAACCCCTCTGGGTTGATGGGGCTTCAGGGGTGCAGAGCCTGGCAAGCAACCCTTTCCTGTCAGTCTGACGAATTCCCACACCACGTACCAACAGGTAGGTGACATGTGGGCTCGATTTCAGCCTCACCTGACTCCTCTGAGGGGCATCTTTGCCCTGCACTAGAGGCCCGAGGCAGCTATAGACACATCCACCACTTCTGTCTTCTTGGCTTTGGACAGAAACAGTTAATCTGAAAGGAGCAACAAGTCTACATCTGAGGCATACCAGAAATTCCACCAACAGACTCTGAACCCTCCTGAAAATTCAGGGAGGGAGAAGAGCATGGAAGCCAACAGTGCAGAGTTTGGGGTGCGGCTGCTCTGAAGTCAAATCTGCCTCTACCACTTCCTTGCCGTGTGACTTGGGGTAAAGTATTTCACCTGTCTGGAGCTTCCATTGCCTCACCTGGAAAAGGGATGCAATTGCTTGAGGCACAAGTTAGGAAGCAAATCAACAGCATAGATGCAGTGCCTGGAGATCAGAAGGTGCCCTTTCAGTGTAAGTCCCTCCTCATTCTTCCCCCAAATGGCCTGAGGGGTTCACTACAGGGCCACGCCCAAGTGGGACCCAGAAGCAGAAGCCTCTGAGGCTCCTTGACGCTCAGAACCAGGTCAGTGCCATGCTGTTGTTGGATTCTCGCTGCTACTGAGAGCCCAGATATAAAATGTTAATGTGCAAGGAAGCCAGCCGACCAGGTGACGGTGACAAACCTCACGTCCCATCTGTTCTTCCCCTCCCTCCACTCCAGGTTGGGCACGAAAAACAACTCCGTGATTCCTCTTTGCTGAGTAAACTGATGCGTGAATGAACAAATAAACCTCTGAGAGATTCCAATGCCAGGGGAGGCCCCGAGCTTTTATCTTGTGACTTGTGTGCCAGGAGCATAAATAGTCACGGTTGCCCCTGGATTCGTTAGTGGCTCCTATTGGGTTTTGAGCCACCCCAGGCTTTCCTCACCTGGAGGTGCTGATTTCAACGTGAGTCACAGGCCTCCGAACTTAAGCACAGACCCTGCTGAGCTGATTATTCCACCCTAGAGAAATCGCCAATGTGACCTGTGAGAATGAAGATTCTTGGAGCCTGGGGCCGCTGCTCGTGCTGCCTCCAGCCTCCTGATCGACCAGTCCAGATAAGGCTGCATTACCCACCAGGAAACACACGCCTATAGCCACAAATTCCAGGTCTTGCAAACACATTGAGGACCAGGAAAAAAATAAAAGGCATTGGCTCGAAATAAAGAAAAAGATGCAAAATTGAAATGAAGAAATGCTTAATTAAATGTCTAAAAAACACTAGGTCCACTTTGTTCATTAAGTTTGTTTTCATTAAAATCTTATTACATCTAAACACAATTTATGGGTTGGTTCCCTCACTTTGTAATAACTCCTGAGTTTGCATGAGAAAGCACAGCCAATAGCATTATACAGTGAAGGAATTACTACTCATAGCCAAGTAAGTTCAAAAGCAAAATTCCACAAATTATTTTTTTATTTTTAATTTTCAAATTAAATTTTATTTTATTTTATTTATTTATTTTTGAGACGGAGTCTCACTGTCGCCCAGGCTGGAGTGCAGTGGCGCGATCTCGTCTCACTGCAGGCTCTGCCCCCCGGGGTTCACGCCATTCTCCTGCCTCGGCCTCCCGAGTAGCTGGGACTACAGGCGCCCGCCACCTCACCAGGCTAATTTTTTGTATTTTTAGTAGAGACGGGGTTTCACCGTGTTAGCCAGGATGGTCTCGATCTCCTGACCTCGTGATCCGCCTGCCTCGGCTTCCCAAAGTGCTGGAATTACAGGCGTGAGCCACCGTGCCCGGCCCTAAATTTTATTTTTTTAGAGACAGGGTCTCACTGTTGCCCAGGCTGGGGCACAGTGATGCAATCATAACTCACTGTAGCCCTGAACTCCTGGGTTCAAGTGATCCTCCCACCTCAGCCTCCCGAGTAGCTGGGACTACAGACATGTGTCACCACACCTGGATAATTTTTTATTTTGTGTAGAGATGGGGTATCACTATGTTGTGCAGGCTGATCTTGAATTCCTGGCCTCAAGTGATCCCCTGCCTCAGCCTCCCAAAGTGCTGAGATTACAGGCATAAGCCACTGTGCCAGGTTTAAAAATTCTTTAAAATGTATTTACATTAACAAACATATGATATAGGTACACTGGATACTTGATATATAATGTGGGAGAGGCTTCTAAAAGGAACCAGAGCCAACGGACATCTTAAAATGCCTCTGCTGTAGGGCCATGTGACTGTTATTGGTTCTTGGGGAACTCTTTACTAGGAAGTCCCTACTTTTCTCTCCTGGAGATGCCGATTTCTCCTGGGAAGTCAGTCACTGGCCACTACAGATACATACAAATAATGCCTATTATTTCAGTGGACGAAAATGGCCCTTTCATCTCTTAGAATTAAGACACTTCATGACCAGCAGTACACACACCTTCATCCAGCCTCTTGTCAATGTCAAATGTGTCAATCTCTCTCTCTCTCTCTCTCTTCCTCCCTTCTTCCTTCCATGTCTGCTTTCTGGTATATGCAATTTCTTTTCCAGAAAGGTTTTCCTCACATAGATACAAAGATAATCATCCTCTGAAAAATGGCTTCCTTCCAGCTTACCAACTCAGAAAAAGTATCATTTCTAGTAGCTCTGGCCAAAGCCCCAAGAGGACTTTGATTGACTAGGCTTGAGACACCTGCTTATTGCTGAACCAATCACTGTGGCCAGAAGAACAGGGTACTCTGATTGGCCAGACCTGAGCCATGGGACCACCCCTGTGGTGGGATTCGGGGTAGTATCAGCCTCATTCCTCTTGTCCCAGCTTTCTGCACAGCCTCCCCCAGGAGGGCATGGAAACCCCAGAAGCCATGGGCCAGGCATCCAAAATGCTACTGGATAGGTATTCACAAACCCCTTCTCTTAAACCAGGGATTGGCAACCTTTTTCTGTAAAGGTCCAGATGGTACAATATTCTAAGTTTTATGGACCAAGGGGCAGAATCAAGGCTATTAGGTAAGTACCTACATAACAAAAGAGAAAAGACATTTCCATAAATTCTTTTCAATCATTAAAAAGTTTTTTTAAAAAATCCTCAGTTTGGGCTGGGCGCGGTGGCACATGCCTGTAATCCTAGCACTTTGGGAGGCCGAGACAGATGGATCACTTGAGGTCAGGAGTTTGAAACCAGCCTGGCCAACATGGTGAAACCCCATCTATACTAAAATTACAAGAAAACTAGGCAGGAATGGTGGCAGGCACCTGTAATCCCAGCTACTTGGGAGGCTGAGGCAAGAGAATTGCTTGAACCCAGGAGGCAGAGGTTGTAGTGAGCCGAGATTGTGCCACTGCACTCCAGCCTGGGTGACAGAGTGAGACTCCGTTTCAAAAAAAAAAAAAAGAAATTAAAAGATCCTCAGTTTGCAGGCTATACAAAAACAGGCAGTGGGATGGATATGGCCTCAGTGCCCTGGTTTGCTGACTCCTGCACTAATCTCTTTCCACTTTCCAAAGTGCAAAAAGCCACAGGGAAAGCATCATCCTCCCAGAGCATCCACTACCAATGTGCCAGTTATGGGGGCTACTTACATCTTCTGATCCTGATTCTCAAAGGCTGCGTCCTGTGAGCACAGCCACCTCAGAAAGGCCCTTCTTCCCTGGAAGCCACTTCCCACCCCCATTCAGGCTTCGGAGGGCCTCTCCAGAGCAAGAGGTAGGCAAAGGCCATTAGCCACAGGTCACCAGGGAAATCCCCTCACTGAGCGCTTTCCTTGGATTTTTGTTTTCATGCCACTTCAAGGAGCAAGCAGATTGTAAATACACACTTTAAAATCTCCCGGGCTCACTGCATCATCTCTCCAATTAAGGCTCAGGGCAGCCATGTCTTCACTGGGAGGAAGCCCCGTGCAGGCCTGGCTTGGAGGTGCCCTGGGCAGCTTCCAGGCCTAGGGAGATGCCAGCAGTGCCGGCATTGTTTGAGACTCAGCACCCAGCCACCCCTAAAGCTCCTTCCACCCTGGACCTTCAGTCATGCAAGCCAGTAAAATGCCTGCCTGCCTGCCTGCCTGCCTGCCTGCCTGCCTGCCTGCCTTCCTTCCTTCCTTCCTTCCTTCCTTCCTTCCTTCCTCTCTCTCTCTCTTTAGCTGAATTGGGCAGAGTTCAGTTACTTGTATCCAAACACATTCTGAGCAATATATGGGCTTTACCAGGTACTTTGGAACCTTGGATTTCTCCCCTTGGTACCCACAACCCCTGCCATGTAACTTTCAGTGCCCTCTCACTCTGACTCTGGACTCCAAGTGACTTGCTTTGGCCAATAGCATGTTTGCAAACATTATGTAGACACAGTGGGACTTGTATTGTCTTTAGTAGCTCTTGGAGCTCCTCCAAGCCCATATAACAGTCCCAGTCTGGGCCACTACATGATGATAGACATATAGAGCCAAGATGAGCCTTCCCATCCTCTTGACCAACAAGCCTCGAGCTAGGATGGCTGGAAGCCAACTGTAGGCACATGAATGATCACAGCAGAGGCCAGCGGAAGAACCGCCCCCACTGAGCCCAGCCCACAGAATTATGAGATAAACAAATGGTAGGTGTTTTAAAGGGGACAGATGGGTGCTGGGTTTGTCGGGGAATAATTCACACCCTCAGAAAGCCCTGCTGATACTTGGCACCAAGGAAGGATTCTTTCTAAGCCTGGCCACGGTGCAGATGGGTGGGGGTGCTGAGCAGAGGCCAGGAGAGCTTGAAAGGAGGAGGAGGAGAGAGGTGGGGTGGAGCCCAGTGCACAGACTGTGCTCCCAGTACACTCAACGGGCATCTCTAGCAACCCCTGAGCTGCCCTCCCAGGCTGGGCAGCAATGGATGAGACATTATCAACATGGCAAGCCATGCAGCCCAGCTCCCAGGGCACTGTTGACTGGGACATCTCTCCCTTCCTTCTCACAAAGCTTTGTTCCTGGATCCCTTCCACCTCCCATTCCAACCAGCACCTAGGAAACCACTGCCAGTCCCATCTCACAGAATCACAGTCACAGAAATACAGAACTCAATTCAAAAAGCATGGATTGAGTCTCTATGATGTGCTAGGCACCACTCTGGTGCAGGGGATACAACCTAAACAAAATAATGAAAAAAAACCAAATTCTCATGAGGTTTACATTCTATCAGATAGAGTCACTAGAAACCAGTATGGTCTAGTCTCCCCTGGAGGAAGAAAAAGTATAAGGGCTCGAGCTCCAGCCCCAAGCCTAGCACTGTGCTGAGAGCTTTAGGTGTCTCACTTTATTCCCTCCCCCTTGAGAATCCTTGAAAGAAAGGATTATCACCCACATTTCACAGACATATAAATTGAAGCCCGGGAACATTTAATAAGACACCCAAGGTCACAGAGCTGGTAGGCGGTAAATCCCAACCTGCCTTCAAAGCAGGCGAAGTGTGTCCTTCATGAAGCCTCCCCATTTCTGTAGGCCACAGTAATAGTCTCCCTTTAAAATAAAATGTAAGTTTAGTTGCCAATGCCAACACTTAATGACGTGGTGCACTTAGGCAAGGGACTCAGTTTTCTCATCTGCAAAATGGGATTGATAGTACCCATCTTCCTGGGTTGTAGTCAGGACTAGATATCAGGCCTGAATGGGCTGATCACTTGAGCCCAGGAGTTCAACCAGCCTAGGCAACATGGCAAAACCCAATCTCTACCAAAAATACAAAAATTAGGCACAGTGTGTGCCTGTAGTCCTAGCTACTCAGAAGGCTGAGGTGGGAGGATGATTTGAGCCCAGGAACAGAGGTTGCAGTGAGCCGAGATCTTGCCACTGCACTCCAGCCTGGGTGACACAGCGAGACTCTGTCTCAAAAAACAAAAAAAGATATCAGGCCTGTAAAGCCCCTTGTCCAGAGCCTGGTGCTAAGTGTGTGTTCACAAATGCAAGCCATCATTTTTATTTTATTTATTTATTTATTTATATTGAGATGGAGTCTCGCTCTGTTGCCCAGGCTGGAGTGCAGTGATGTGATCTCGACTCACTACAACCTCTGTCTCCCAGGTTCGGTGATTCTCCTGCTTCAGCCTCCCAAGCAGCTGGGATTACAGGAGCATGCCACCATGCCCAGCTAATTTTTGTATTTTTAGTAGAGACAGGGTTTCATCATGTTGGCCAGGCTGGTCTCTATTTCCTGACCTGAAGTGATCCGCCCACCTCAGCCTCCCAAAGTGCTGGGATTGCAGGCGTGAGCCACTGAGCCCGGCCTACAGTAAGCCATCATTAATAGTAGTAGTAGTCATACCTTTAGTATTTGACATGAACAACCTCACATAAAGAGAAAATGGTACATTGCATCTAGCAATTCACCCCTAATAAATGAGAATGAAAGTGTACTAAGTCAGACCTATAGAAGAAAAACATGGTTGCTGTGAACATTATGAATACAGTAGGTGCTCAATATGCTATTGCATTTTGAGAGCACTGAATCCTAACCAGTAGACCACCAGGGATCGTCGCACTATTGCATTTTAACTCTTACTGTCATGCCTTTACGACACAAGTAAGAGGAATTCTACATTTTCACAGATGTACCTGATCCCCTCATCCTAGAGACAACATTTGTGCCGGCCATGATCCCTGCAGTAGGAGCTGCCCAGTATGGCTGTGGAATGGGAGTGCCAGGCGTGGATTTCTCAGTGGGGTTCCTGCCAAGGAATTCAGTATGTGTTCCAGACTGCTTGTTTAAGTGTTGGTGTTCTAGAACTGTGGTTGTTTTAAGCTTGGGCAATATTTCAATACTACGGTGCTTTGTTTTTCTTATACACTAAAAGTGCCAGCAAGTGATAAGCTGCTCTCCTTTAGAGCCTTTCATAATCCTTTTTTCACCTTTTGCCTATGGATCAGCTTTTGCTGCCTAACATATCACCCCAAAACTTAGTGCTTTAAAACACCTACCATTTGTTTATCTCATAATTCTGTGGGCTGGGCTCAGTGGGGGCGGTTCTTCCGCTGGCCTCTGCTGTGATCATTCATGTGCCTACAGTTGGCTTCCAGCCATCCTAGCTCGAGGCTTGTTGGTCAAGAGGATGGGAAGGCTCATCTTGGCTCTATATGTCTATCATCATGTAGTGGCCCAGACTGGGACTGTTATATGGGCTTGGAGGAGCTCCAAGGGCTACTAAAGACAATACAAGTCCCACTGTGTCTACATAATGTTTGCAAACATGCTATTGGCCAAAGCAAGTCACTTGGAGTCCAGAGTCAGAGTGAGAGGGCACTGAAAGTTACATGGCAGGGGTTGTGGGTACCAAGGGGAGAAATCCAAGGTTCCAAAGTACCTGGTAAAGCCCATATATTGCTCAGAATGTGTTTGGATACAAGTAACTGAACTCTGCCCAATTCAGCTAAAGAGAGAGAGAGAGGAAGGAAGGAAGGAAGGAAGGAAGGAAGGAAGGAAGGAAGGCAGGCAGGCAGGCAGGCAGGCAGGCAGGCAGGCAGGCAGGCAGGCATTTTACTGGCTTGCATGACTGAAGGTCCAGGGTGGAAGGAGCTTTAGGGGTGGCTGGGTGCTGAGTCTCAAACAATGTCAAATGTGTCAATCTCTCTCTCTCTCTCTCTTCCTCCCTTCTTCCTTCCATGTCTGCTTTCTGGTATATGCAATTTCTTTTCCAGAAAGGTTTTCCTCACATAGATACAAAGATAATCATCCTCTGAATAATGGCTTCCTTCCAGCTTACCAACTCAGAAAAAGTATCATTTCTAGTAGCTCTGGCCAAAGCCCCAAGAGGACTTTGATTGACTAGGCTTGAGACACCTGCTTATTGCTGAACCAATCACTGTGGCCAGAAGAACAGGGTACTCTGATTGGCCAGACCTGAGCCATGGGACCACCCCTGTGGTGGGATTCGGGGTAGTATCAGCCTCATTCCTCTTGTCCCAGCTTTCTGCACAGCCTCCCCCAGGAGGGCATGGAAACCCCAGAAGCCATGGGCCAGGCATCCAAAATGCTACTGGATAGGTATTCACAAACCCCTTCTCTTAAACCAGGGATTGGCAACCTTTTTCTGTAAAGGTCCAGATGGTACAATATTCTAAGTTTTATGGACCAAGGGGCAGAATCAAGGCTATTAGGTAAGTACCTACATAACAAAAGAGAAAAGACATCTCCATAAATTCTTTTCAATCATTAAAAATTTTTTTAAAAAAATCCTCAGTTTGGGCTGGGCACGGTGGCACATGCCTGTAATCCTAGCACTTTGGGAGGCCGAGACAGATGGATCACTTGAGGTCAGGAGTTTGAAACCAGCCTGGCCAACATGGTGAAACCCCATCTATACTAAAATTACAAGAAAACTAGGCAGGAATGGTGGCAGGCACCTGTAATCCCAGCTACTTGGGAGGCTGAGGCAAGAGAATTGCTTGAACCCAGGAGGCAGAAGTTGTAGTGAGCCGAGATTGTGCCACTGCACTCCAGCCTGGGTGACAGAGTGAGACTCCGTTTCAAAAAAAAAAAAAAAAAGAAATTAAAAGATCCTCAGTTTGCAGGCTATACAAAAACAGGCAGTGGGATGGATATGGCCTCAGTGCCCTGGTTTGCTGACTCCTGCACTAATCTCTTTCCACTTTCCGAAGTGCAAAAAGCCACAGGGAAAGCAGAGTTTATACTGGGAAGGAAATCTAAGGGTACTGTAGGGTTAGGCCGGGGGTGGTGGCTCATGCCTGTAATCCTAGCACTTTGGGAGGCTGAGGTGGGTGGATTGCCTAAGCTCAGGAGTTCGAGACCAGCTGGCCTAACATAATGAAACCCCATCTCTACTAAAAATAAAAAAATAAAAATATTAGCCGGGTGTGCTGGGGTGCATCTGTAGTCCTAGCTACTCAGGAGACTGAGGCATGAGAATTGCTTGAACCCAGGAGGTAGAGGTTGCAGTGAGCTGAGATCGTGCCACTGTACTCCAGCCTGGGCGACAAAGCAAGATTCTGTCTCCCAAAAAAGAAAAAATAATAATTAATTAATTAAAAAGGTACTGTAGGGTTAAAACCACAGCCACGGAAGGGGAGAAGGAGAGGAGAGGCAGGAACCCTCTGAAGGCAGAGTCTGAAGGAGAACTGGGGAAATTTGGAAGGGGAAAGATGCATCTTTGGGGGCAGTGGCTAGGATAAGAGAGTAAGAGAATGAAAGAAAGAAAAAGAAGATTTTTACAATGCAGCTGTCCCTCAATATCTGCAAGCGATTGGTTCCAGGACCCCCAGGATACCAAAATTTGCCAATGCTCAAGTCCCTGATAAAAATTGGCATAGAAGTTGCATATAACCTATGTGCATCCTCCTATATACTTCCAGTCATCGCTAGATTACTTATAATACCTAATACAATGTAAGTGCTATGGAAATAGTTGTTACACGGTACTGTTTAGGGAATAATGACACGAAAAAAAGTCTGTGAATGTTCAGTATGGAATTATCCTTTTTATTTTTTCTGAGTGGTTTTCCACCCACAGCTGGCTGAATCCAGGAACGTGGAACCCATGGATATGGAGGGCCAGCTGTATTGGCTGTGCCTTACAAATGAAGTGCACCAGAGGCTACAATAAATATTCAATTGCTTTTCAATTACTATGGATAGTGAATTGAGTTCTCCCTTTTTCTTAATGTGACACAATGCTGATCTGGGCCCACAAGTGGATGTGTCTTTCCGTGGGTTGCCCCCCAATTCCCCAGCTCTGCTAACCCTCCCGTGTTCAGCCACCCTGAGCAATCTTGTTCCCTCACCCACCACATCTCTCCACCTGAGACATGAACACCCCACCCTAACGTCCCTCTGCTCATCCAACTCCTGTTCATCCTTTCTTTGGGAGATCTTCCATGGCTCCCTGGGTGACCCCTACTCACTGAGTCCTTAGTTCCCACTGCACCCTGTGCCCAACCTGGGAAAAGCCTGAGCTCTCTCGGGTTCCTCGCTTTAAAATGGGATCACTTGCCTGCCCCTGCTGAAAACGAGGCAAGGTAGAAGAAAGCCCTTTGCAATCTGTAAAGGGCTAGCTAGGCACCTGAGGGCTGTTATTGGCATTTGGTTCCAGGAAGGCCCTGTTTTTGATCGTCTTCTCTGTTCCATCCTCTCCAGGTGAAGCTTCAATGTGCCCCGAGAGCCAGGTATCCGCAGAAACAGAAATACTGTGTTATTGGCAGGAATTAGATAAGCTTGTGAATTTAGGGATCTGCTTCGCGCCAATTTCATCAGCTTGGGGATGGGGGTGGGATGGGAGTGGGCAATCTGACTCTTCTAGGACAGCCTCCTCGTATTCCAGGTTATTGTTTCCCCATCCCAGGAAATCCTGCGGGTGCCTTCCCCCAACGAAAGCCACTGATGTCGCCCCTCTCCTCCCAGCAGCTTCCAGACCGCGACCTTCTGTAGCTCTGCTCAGAACTTCACCTGGAACAGCTTCTTACAATTCTTAAACAGCCCCTCAGTCGACTGTGATTAAGCATACACTCCAGCCTCAGCAAGCTTGGCGTCTGCCCCTGCCGCTGGGAGACCCTCCTCCAGGCACCTGCCCTGGGCCCCGCCCCGCCCGGTCCGCGCGCACGCGCAGTGGCCCCACCCCGCCCCGCCCCGCGACGCCCGAGGACCCGACGGAGCTACACCCGCTAGTTCAGCCAGGAGGCCCTGCGCGGCTCCGGGGAGAGCTGGGTGGTTATGCCACCTCATTAGACACATTGGTGGACGATGCCGCGGATTAGCGGGTTGGCTCTCAGGGCGGGGCGCAGGCTTTCTCACTGATCCGGGAGCGTGGGAGCAGGGGCAACGCGGGGCCATCCGGGAGCTGCCCGCCTGCTTCGCAGTTGGCTTTCCGGGCCCTCGAGCAACGTCTGACTTTGCCCTTTGTTTTTAAACACCATGCAGGATGGTTTGTGTACAAACGAAGCCGTGTCACTTCTCAAGTGTCGGTGCTCAACGTGGCAACGCCCCTCCCGCCCCCAGTACAGAGATCCTGCCCATCCACCGACAATCCCCCTCCTCATCTTCCTTCCCCCAGGTGCGAGTGATTCAAGGAAATCCGACTGGAGGGAACACACGCTGCGATGCACCCTCTCCTCTTCCATTGAGCCAGGGGTGACCTTGAGAGACTCAGGCCACCTCACCAGGCTCTACCAGGAACAGCGTCTACAGCTGGTAGAGAGCACGGGCTGCAGAGAGGTAAAGATGGGGTTCGGAAGCCAAGGCTCCCCTTGTTGCATGGGTGACATCAGGCAAGCTACTCAACCTCTAACCCTGGCTTCCCCTTCTGTATACTGGAGACAGTATCGGCCCCACAGGCACTTGTGGAGCAAGTGGGTTTGAGCTGAGCTCCTCTGAAAATCAGAGGCACACTCAGAGAGTAGCTCAGAAAACCAGGATGTGTCAGTTTCATTTGCTGGGAAGCAGAAGCCAAGATAGAATTAGAAGTGCAATGTCTGTGAAGGAAGAATAAAGGGAAAAGGAAACAGGAGTGGGGCAGGGGGCAGACCAAAAGGAAGACAGACAAGTGTGAGAAGGAGCCCCACAGTGCAGTGTAAGCTTAAGAAGGTGTGGAGAGGATGGGAGTCACTCACTGGGCAGGAATGGCCCAGCTCCAGCACCTTGCTATGACCAGCCAGCTGCTGGGAACAGGCCAGGAAGAGTGTGGCCTTAGCGCAAACACTGGGGTGGATCTCGAGATGAAGGTGTGGCCGCTGGAAGCTGTCACTTCACCACTCCTCTTCTGAAGAGAGAGCTGAGCCCTGCACATGGGAGCATTGGTGAAAAGGGTGGTAGACGTTTATCAGTAACCTTACTGGTTTTGTGCTCCATCCTCCATCTCCCAAAGTCCCCCTGACCTTGCCTTCAGCTCCAGGAATGGCCACATGACTCAGACAAAGCCAACCAGCCATCCCATTTCAGTGGCCAGTGATGAATGATTCAGTGTTTACCCAAACGCATCCAATCAGGGTGAATCTGAGGACATTTGCTGGGGAGGCTGGGACACAGATAATCTCTTTTCTGACAGATGGTAACAAGAAAGTAGGTAGCTGCAGGGGCTGCTGGCAGCCATCTTGAGACATGAAAGGTGTCCAAATTGGGATGAATTC